>NC_000005.10:165761324-166064354 GCF_000001405.40 Homo sapiens
TAAAAAAAAAACAGATATTGCAGCATATTGTATGCTAATCAGAATGATGTGGTGAAGAAATCAAATTAATGGTACAGAGGAAAGCAGAGAAGTGTTGAAGTGATGTCCTTGAGTTGATGCGATACCATTTAGTTTGTCCCAATTGTGTTGCTTGGCATTGGATAGGAACATAAGGTCAGCATGATTATGTTTATTTCAATCTTTCTCATCAGTCCAGTTATAGGAGTAGACTAATCAGATAATTCAATTGAACTAGGATATAGGCATTTCCAGGCAATCATAACTGGGAGGATGGGGGAGGTATTGAAGTGGAGGCTAAATGCAAGGGATGGTGGAGCATGAGATTTAAGCTGACTAAGGGTGGAAGTTAGCACATGAAGGAATAAAAGACAGTGGGCATGTGCTAAGTTCAATGGCTATAAGTTACAGGAAGAAATAGTAATTGTTGAATCTGGGGAATTAATAGGAGGACCCTTGAACAAGAGAAGGCAATGTCTGGAGAGTAGGAAGCTTGAAATGAAGAAATGGAGAAACAGTTTCCAATGGAGAAAATGTAATAATTGATTAATAAAGGCTATTGGGTATGGTGTACTAGGGATAGAGAACAATCATTCAAAAAGAGGAGGTTAAGGAACTGAGGACCAAGATTTTGGAAGGATTGTCTATGTGACTATCAAAATCACAGAAAAGCTAAGACAGGGCTACTGTTGGAGAGAGTAAAACTGTTACAAGGATGAAAATCTCCAAGGAATTTGTTGTAGAGATTTCACATCAGCCTGCAAATGACAACAAATTGTTTCTTTACAAATTTGCTTTACATAACTTCAGTTTCTATCTAAAACATAATCTCTGTTAGAGTTTAATAAAAGCTTTCCTTTAAAAAAAGATCTAACACTAAAAAGAACTAAAGTGATTTAAAACAATTTACTTTCTAAAATTCTGTTTCTAAAAAATAGAAAATAGGTGTTTGCTTTTAACATTCTTAGATAATAGAACATAGTATTAAAAACATTCTTAAGCTGCTTATTTTCTGTCTTGTACTTTTTCGTCAGTGCATATCTTTCCTTATAATAAATCACTTGGGACTATTTAGTGTTCGATGATTTATTTTTTTAAAATCTTTTATCTAAGTTGCTTTCTGGTCTAAACTGACACTATTGACTGGAGTGGGAGTAGGTCTGATAAGATTGCTCTAAAGATGTAGCCAAATAAATCACATAGACTCAAGGATTTAGTTCTGACCTGCTCAATGTGCTTTGCCTTTAGAAAAAAAAAAAACCTAACACAAATAACTTGTTTTCATCCAGAAAATATGAGCTAGAAACTTATTTTAAAAACCACATCTGCTAAACTTGTGTGCCTAAAGTAAATAAATTTTATTTTAGATTTTTGGGAGAAGATTATGTATTTTTAAAATATCCACAAAAGTACTCATGCTGACATTCAGATTTTATATACACTGACTACCATTTATTTTAATCAAGGAGTGGCCTCCACTATGTCAATCTTGGCTGTCATGAAGCAGAAAAAGAAGTACTGCCTGAACAGACTCTAGAGAAATTCTATAATGACACTTAATTCAGTAAAGGACAACTGATAATTATATAATACATGGGTGGGACAATCCACTTGAAAATAAGTTTAGTATAAATCAATGTAAGTATTGAAGAGAAAGATCTTTCATTTTCTACAAGATAGTCAAAACTATCTTGTTTAAAAATGTAGCTTCTTTTTTAATGTGGTATGCACATAGACAAAACTTGGTCTATACTAAGAAAGTGAGGTTAAGAATATTTTCCGAATTCCAATTTAAAGAAGAAACAACCAAAAATAAAAATGACATAGTTTAACAATAAAAGAGGTCCACATTCTTACGAATATATTGTTCAGAATTCCCAGTACTGGTTGTCAGTTACATGTAGGTGTTGAAAGCATGGAGCTGCTAAACTCCTTAGCAGAATATATGATTTATCATCAAAACACACACACACACACACACACACACACACACAGAGAGAGAGAGAGAGAGAGAGAGAGAGAGAGAAAATCCCCAAACTATTTTAGACATCAGTTAGAAGATACCCAGCGATTTTTTTCCACGCAATATTCAAAACATTTACCACCTGTACCCCATTCATTTAGCAAGTTAACTTTATGTCTCTTATTCTTAAATAAATTATAAGATCAGGAATTATTCTTAGATTTTGTATTCCCACAGAGATGAGTACCCCGTACTTTGACAGCTCTTAATAATTGTTACATACACCTAAGAGAGAAACCTGTGTCTAAATTGTAGAGGCTCAGAAACAGTAAGACTTTTATACTGTAAGGTTTTTATACCATGAAACCTCAGAATAATTATTACTGATGAGTTTATTTCTAATAATAAAGTATATACTTCATATTGAGAGAAAAATAATATTTGACAATAGACTGAATAGATAAGAAAGTTTAACTCTTTGGTTCTAGACAATAAAATCTTGCTCTAAATTCTATTTTAAAACTATGAGGTCTTAAAGACAAAAATTGTTTTGCTATGAGGTTTTTCAACTACATTGTCCTGAAATCATTTGGAGAAGGTTTATTATGTTTATTATAAAATTTTTATTTTGCCTCGTTATTCTTATTCCTGCTGATTCTCTGTGTAGACTATGAAGACCAAAATGAACAATCTATTTCAATTAGCTTTAGAAATAGAAAAAAAAATGCGAAAGGATGAAGGATAAGAGTCTTTGCTGTATTCTCTGTTGCACTGTCAGAAAATGTCTCAGAGACAACAGAAAGAGGCCAGAAGTACTTGTGGTCTTTGGCATAAGGCAGACTAGGGATCCATTCTACCTCCACCATTTTCTAGCTAATAAGGAAGTGCTTAGAAAGTCATTAACTGCACCTCAAATATTAAGTACACAGTCAGTTTAGATACTAATGTTTTTGATTTCTGATACAATATACAAAATGCCTTTGTTTTTTGATAACTGTTCTCTATATCAGGATGTGTCAGAAGCGTTTGTTTTTTATTGTTAGGATAACAAAATTCTATGTAATTATCATAGAAGCACTACTGAAACCACTTCAAACTCTGCTTCTCAAAAATTCTCCTCTGGTCCCATCTCCCTCAACAAGCGTCGTGGCCAGTATGACATCAGCCCAGCTCTGCAATTCCTGCCACTGGTAGTCTACTATTTGGAGCAGACTTCCAGCACCCTTTATTTCATTAACTCTCATTGAATCTCAGCAAAAAAAAAATTATCTTCTTCTTTGCTTATATATTTTAACTCTTCTCTGCTAGGCAGTTTAACTTTGTAACTTAACATTCTAATTTGCTTTAGCCTTCAGGTTTTCTAATACCATTATAAATATCCTATTAATTTTATCCCTCAGATCATATCCCTCAGATATGTTTAATATAGGTATAAGAAATTTGCCTTACTCTATTTGCCTCAATGACTTTTCAACAAATTTTACTTCATAATGCAACTCAGCTCAATCAACACTTTTAGGATAGCTGAAAATATTTGCAAAATATTAAAGACAACATTAAGACATTTGTTTTAGAGAATGTAACAAAGAAGATAGAGATGTGAAACTAAGATAAAGTGTAAAAAGAATTAGTTTCAAAATTATATTTGGAAGGGAAACTAATAAGCTGGCTAATCACTTACCTGACAACCACTTATAAGATTCTGCTCTGTTCAAGTCGCTGTATTAAAAAAAAGAGGGTTGAAGTCTCCAAGAATTGTATAATCTACTAATATATGTAAATGGAATATGATTTATAAGGTATAATAATTTCTAAGAAGAATAAAAGTAGAAGTCTCATGCCTCCTGATTTCACAACTTGCGACAAAACTACAGGAATCAAAACTGGGGTAATGGCGTAATGATAGATACACAGAACAATGGTATCAAATAGCTCAGAAGTAAACTCACATATACAATCAAATGATTTTCAACAAGTTTGTCAAGACCATTCAATGGGAAAATGAGTCTTTTCAACAAACTGTGCTGGGAAAAGTAGATAGCTTCATGTGAAAAAAAAAAGTTGGACCTTTGCCTTATACCGTATATAAAAATTAATTCAAATGGATCAGATATCTAAATATGAGCCAAAACTACAAAAATCTTAGGAGAAAACATAAGGGAAAAACTTTGTCATTAGACTTGAAAGTGACATCTTTGATGTGAAACCAGAAGCACAGGCAAGAAGGAAGTAAAAAAATTTTGGACATTAGACATTTGGTAATAGTTTGGGTATTTGTTCCCACCCAAATCTCATGTTGAATTGTAATGCCCAATGCTGGAGGTGGGGCCTGGTGGGGGGTGTTTGAATCATGGGAGTGGATCCTTCATGGCTTCTTCGAGATAGTAACTTTTCACATAATCTGCTTGTTTAAAAGTGTGGCACTGCTCTACCTCAGTCTCTCCTGCTTGTTCCTGCTTTTGCCATGTGATGTACCTGTTCCCCCTTCACTCTCTGCCATGATTGTAAGCTTCTCTGCCGTGATTGTAAGCTTCCTGAGGCCTAGAAGCCGAGCAAATGCCAGCACCATGCCTCCTATAAAGCCAGCAGAACTGTGAGCCACCTAAACCTCATTTTTTAATAAATTACCCAGTCTCAGGTATTCTTTTTTTTCTTTTTTCTTTTTCTTTCTTTCTTTCTTTTTTCTTTTTTCTTTTTTTTTTTTGAGACAGGGTCTCATTTTGTCACACTAGTGATCAAATGATCAAGTGATCCTCCTCCCTCAGTCCCCCAACTAGCAGGGACTACAGGTATGTGCCACCACACTTGGCTAACTTTTGCATTTTTTGTAGAGACAGCATCTTGTCATGTTGCCCAAGCTAGTCTTGAACTCCTGGCCTCAAGTGATCCACCCACCTTGGCCTCCCAAAGTGCTGGGATTACAGGCATGAGCGTCTATGCCCAGCCTCAGGTTTTGGTGGTTGTTGTTATTGTTTTGTTTTGTTTTTATTTTTTGAGACGGAGTTCTCGCTCTATCGTCCAGGCTGGAGTGGTGCAGTGGCACGACCACGGCTCACTGCAACCTCTGCCTCCTGGGTTCAAGTGATTCTTGTGCCACAGCCTCCTGAGCATCTATGTGATAGTGACCTAATGCATGTCTCCGGACAAGATGTGCCAATGGTCAATAAACACACAAAACATACTCAACATCACTAATAGAGAAAGACAGTTAAAAACGTGAGATAACCTCACACATGTAGACAGCAATTATCAAAAAATAAGAGACAAGTATTGGTGAAGATGTAAAGGGAACCCTTGTACAGTGTTGATGAGACTGTAAATTAGTACAGCCTATGAAAAATCAGTAGGGAGATGTCTCAAAAAATTAAAAATAGAGCTTCCATGTGATCCAGCAACCCAGCTACTGGTTATATATCCAAAGAAAATGAAGTCAGTGTATCAAAAATATATCTACACTTTCATATTTGCTTCAGCATTATTCACAGTAGCCACCCTATGTAATTAGCCTAAGTGTCTATCAAAGGATAAATGGATAAAGAAAATGTAGTATATATACACAATGTAGTACTATTCAGCCTTGAAAAATGATGAAATCCTATCATTTGCAACAATGTGGTTGAAACTGGAGGGCATTATGCTAAGTGAAATAAGCCAGGCACCAGAAGACAAATACTGCATGATCTCATTTATATGTGGAATCTTAAAAAGTCAAACTCACGGAAGCAGAGAAGAGAATGGTGGTTACCTGGGACTGAGGATGGGAAGAGAACTGGGGAAATGTTGGTCAAAGAATACAAAATTTCAGTTAGGAATAAGTTCAAGAAATATATTGTATTACATGTTGAGCATAGATAATAACAATGTATTATATGCCAGAAAATTACTAAATGAATAGACTTCAAGTGAAAAAAAGTATATGAGGTGTAATGCATGTGTTAACTAACTTGATTTAGCCATTCCACAAAGTATAGGTATATCAAAAAGTTGTACACTATAAACATACAATTCTTGTCATTAAAATCATCTACTTAATAATACAGAAACAACTGAATTCGACAAGGTTCGAGTGCAGAGAGCAGACATCCATTTCCTATACTGAGGATTTCTTCAATGAGAAACAGTCCTATTTTGTGTTGGCTTCCAATTTCTAACGATGACACATTACCATATCATAAAGGGTAGGCAAAAGTATAAACAGTCAATCCAAAATTTCAGACTTCAAAAAAATTCTAAAACATATTATGACATTAATAAACCTTGAAGTCATCTAAGTACAATGAGCCAGAAGTAAAAGGGCAAATATTGTATGACTTAATTTAAGTGAGATATAGAGTTTCAGCTTGAGAAGATGAAAAAGTTCTGGGAATGAATTGTGGTGATGGTTGCCAACAATTAGAATGTATTTAATGCCACTGAAAGGTATATTTAGAAACAATGAAAATGGAGAATTCTATGTTGTGTACATTTTGCCACAATAAAAACACTTTAAAATTCATATTATAGACATGACTGAAAAATATGCATGTAGAATACACTATATGGAATCTTATAAGTAGTCAGAAAAATGCAAATTAAAATAACCATGAGACTTATCCATTAAATTGGAATATATATATACACACATATATATACACACACATATATACACACACATATATATATATACACACACACACACGGAGATTGATGACATTAAGTATCAGCATGTTGGATGTAAATTCTCCTTTTTCTAAAGGAGGTGCTGCCTTTCAAAGAGTAGTATGTGTTAACTCTTAATATTAAAACTGTTGATAGCCCAACAGTGAAATTCTTGGTAACTGGCCTAGAAAATATTTGGACATGAACATAAAGAGCCAGGAACAAAGTCTTTTATGATAGCTTTGTTTTTTGCAGTGGGATTTTAATATGCTGCTGTTCATCACCATTTTAATGAATAAACAAATAGTTGTAAATCTATGTTATGGAATACTTACATAGCAGAAAAAGCTACACGCACATACAAATATATGTGTAGAAAAAGGATATGTTTTTCAGATATATGATTAAGTGATGAAATTTTCTGAAAAATGCATAGATTAAAATATTCTATATATATAAAAATAATACCCACATCCAAAACACATTCAAATATATATATATTATATATATGTATATTTATAAGTATGTAAGTTTGTATAAGCAAAATCAACATATGAACACTTTTGGAAATCATATAAGGAATTTTTTTTTCACTTCAAGTTTTAGAAAAGTAGAGTATTTTCAAATATCAGATAAACTTTCTATAGGATTTTTAAGGCTTAATTTCGGGGTACGGCAAGTTGAGTACATAAACTCATGGCAATGTAGCTAAAGTAGTCACAGCTTTTAAAATACTAATTTATTAAATGAATATGCACTTGGGAATAGTATAAAAAATAACATCACGGCCGGGCGCGGTGGCTCACGCCTGTAATCCCAGCACTTTGGGAGGCCGAGGCGGGCGGATCACGAGGTCAGGAGATCGAGACCATCCCGGCTAAAACGGTGAAACCCCGTCTCTACTAAAAATACAAAAAATTAGCCGGGCGTAGTGGCGGGCGCCTGTAGTCCCAGCTACTTGGGAGGTTGAGGCAGGAGAATGGCGTGAACCCGGGAGGCGGAGCTTGCAGTGAGCCGAGATCCCGCCACTGCACTCCAGCCTGGGCGACAGAGCGAGACTCCGTCTCAAAAAAAAAAAAAAAAAAAAAAAAAAAAAAAAATAACATCACATATAACATTCATTGGAAAATATTAAATTATTCTTCCCTCATTTCAAATAATAGTTCAAAAAAAATCTTACCTATGTTTTTGTTATCATGGACTTTTATTACAAAATTACATTTTCTGCCTCCTATGTACCTTCTTGAGCACCTCATTTTCACTGCTATTCAAGTTATTTAAAATATATGTCCTTTAAAATCTATACATGCTACTGTTCCTAGTTTTTTTAATGAGACATAAATATTCATTTGCAAAATATATGAACTGGTGTTGTTTGTTTTTTTGCTCACTTGTTTTTGCCCTGGAGGTTAATTTTCATGATCCTTAAGTGGTTAAGTAGAGCTAGTTAATGTGTTACACATAAGTTGATACAGCTATCTCCTAAAAGGGTTGACAATAGCATTAGCCTTGCTGTTGTGAAAAAATTGTGAATTTTTGTGAAATTTGTGACACTTCCCTGGAAATCATGACCAAATCTGTGTTAAATACCTTTTTTTTAACCAACTTTATTTGGAGATATCTAAATGTAGCAAAGATTTTCGTTTGTTGACATTGTTTTAAACCAATGTGTCTTTTGTACACCGTGTTTGGTTCAAAATATAATAACTGAGGTTATGCCCCATAATATACAGCATTTTGAAGGGGCTTGAATAGATGATGACTTTAATTATTCAAGGGTAGTTTTGTGGAAAACACTGCTTTACATCCTGAAATACTTAGTAACTCTTTTGTGTCTTAACACTAAGTTCCTCCTTAAGACACTTAGAGACAAGGTAAGTACAGAGACAAGGTAATTTCAGTTCTTAAAATGAAAATACTTCATGTAAATATGTTTACATTACACTGTGTTTATAGTGGTTTAACTTCCTACTATTACATAAGCTATGAAACTTCTCTCTATGATAAGTGCTTGTCAGAAGCTCATAAACATATAGCTGAACTACTAACTCAACTCAAACTTACCCTTAAACTCATGACTTGGTCCTATCCCTCCAAGAGATACAAAGAATTACAAAGAACAGCCTCACATTATTGGCCCTTTCCTGTTATGTTACCGCAAAAATGCTTCTGTTGCTGGGATTCCGAAATCATCTCATTTTCTCTTTATAGCAACTATTCATTTTTCACTAATAATTACCATGAAAAGTTTAAAATCAGTTTAAAGTTTTGTTACTTGGTGTGAGGTATAGCTGTAATTTCTCTGACAAATATGTTCTGCAACATTAGTTGCATTTAATCTTTTGTGCATGTATGTTTATTTCTATATTTTAAATTTTCTATATGATATAAAATTTTTTATTCTGTAGATAGAAATGACAATATTTATGCAAATCCTTCACAGCTTAAATTATTGGTTGATAAAGTTAGTGCCTTTTCAATAATCTTCTACCTCAAAAGAGTATTTGCTAACCTTACCTTGTTATTATCCAAGGGGCATATTTAAATCTATTTGTTACATTGCTAGAAAATATATTTTGGAATTTTAGTAGGAACACGTTAACTGTGTACATAAATTTAAGAAACATATTTTGTTTGCTATACAATGCCAGCATTGGGACCACTGAGTTAAACCTCTGTTACTTTGTTTTTTGAGACGGAGTCTCGCTCTGTCGCCCAGGCTGGAGTGCAGTGGCGCGATCTCGCCTCACTGCAAGCTCCGCTTCCTGGGTTCACGCCATTCTGCCTCAGCCTCCCGAGTAGCTGGGACTACAGGCGCCCACCCCCAGGCCCGGCTAACTTTTTGTATTTTTAGTAGAGACGGGGTTTCACTGTGTTAGCCAGGATGGTCTCAAATCTCCTCACCTCGTGATCTGCCCGCCTCGGCCTCCCAAAGTTTTGGGATTACAGGCGTGAGCCACTGCGCCCGGCCTCTATTACTTTTTTTCAATGTTTTTCATCTCTATATAATTTGAAATTTTATAAGAATTTTCATCTGATCCATTAAAGGAATAACCTGTCTGGGTAAGGATAGGAGACCTCTGTCAACCAGAGCTAGGAGAAAAATCTAAATATGTGCACACTTTTAACTTATAGTTCAAAACATTTTTATGGTAATCATTACGAAAACTACTGTTAATACATAAGTAAACGGCATTCACAAGTGCAACACATGTAAGTTCCCTTAGAGCTATGCTATTTTAACAGCTAAGCCATACCTAAGTGATAGCTTTCAAAAAGAAATTACAACGAAAATAAAAGAACAAGGTTAGTATAGCGTGGAGGATGTTAGTGGTTGACAGCATCTCAGAATTTGTTTTTGAGTCTATATTAGCTCCCCAGTAAATCTGAGATTAAGCAAATATTTCGGTGATTGATACTCATTTTAGGTGAAGCAAGCCCTGGATGGGGATTGAGATGATGGAGCTATTTTCCTAGGTCATCTTCTTGACCAGTGCCAGGTTATTATTATCCTCATCTTGATCACATAAAAAATAGAGACGATGATTACAACTGTGACCAATCTGCATTGAGGCCTTATGCAAATTAACCCAAATTTGAACTCTATCAGAAGGTAATAGTGGTAAAATTGCTCATTCTATCATATTTATACTCTCATATTAGCACAGGTTTTACATATTTTTTTTAAATCTATGAAATCCAGCCAGCTTAATAAAGTATCAGATCTTAGGAAAATATCCCATGTAGCTACAAACTGCGTGAAGCCATAGGTATAAGTACAATTATTCTGATCTTCTGGGAAGCACGTTGATGAAACTAAGAAAAGGTCTTTTGAAAGACCCAGCGGACTGCTGCCAGGCAGTAGTTACATTGTCCATAGCATAAGGCACAGTTAAAAAAGAGAAAAAAATTCTTCCCAGGACATCTCTACTCTCTTCAATTTTAAAATGGCTTTCAAGTTTCCTGTTCAATGTGCTGATCTGGAAGCACAGAATGAAGGAGAAAGGGAAAGAAGAGTTAGACTATAAAGTTGTTAATACATTAGTTAATTCTTTTATGGAACATTTTGAAGCACAGGCTATTAAATCACTTCCTTCTGTTCAGTTAGCTTTTGAGCCTGATAAGCATCAAAGCTCAGATGGAAAATTGACATCCAAAGAGACTGACATATAAGCATACAGTTTAAAAATTCAGCAAAAGAAGTAGTGTTGTACCTAAGATCTTTCTTATAGTTATGCTGAGACTCTAGTCTCTATGATGTTGTAATAAAACTGAAAATAACAAAAAAAAAAAAAAAAAAAAAAAGAGGAAAACCAGGATGGAATCAGGTTTCATGGAGTGACTGAAGTGGCCTTTTGAAGATTTTAAAACAACTGCAGAAAATAATCTTTTTCTCTGTCCATGGCAGTAACAGATTAGTGGCTCATTTCCATACCATCATTTTGAGACTCTCCATGATGACCCCACCCTCATGCCCTATATTCAAAAATATTAATCTGTTCAATTTTCAAATGGGAGCCATAGCCAGTGCGGGAGGATGTGGGAGAAGCCCTGCCTTGATGAGGGAAAGTGTTGAACCAATAGCTCATGGCTGCATATTAGTTGAACTACCGACCTTACAGTTGATGTAGCTTTCTCAAAAGTGCTTAACTTAGTAGCGGGGAGTAGTTTACCCCCTGGTGAAATCAGGATCAATACTTATTAAATACTTCATGAACTCTATTCATTTCTAAAACATCCACTTGTCTGCCTTTCCTGTCATGTTCTGAATTAATTTGATGTGTGATACAATTCTTACCTTTTATATTACGTTACTTGTATGCTGAAAAGTAAAAGACAAAATAATGAGGATTGAGGGATGGTCTTTTTGTTTTTCTTAACTGTCTTGTCTCCCTTTTCAAAGATATTTATTATAATACCTTCTTAGACAATAGTTTTCCACTTCTTCCCTTAAAAAATATTTAGGCCTAAATCTACAAGCACAATATTAAACATTTGTTATTTACTTTCTTCCCAGTTCTTTGGAAAAAAGTGAGCTGATCTCTGTAAACGGAAATTAATTCTCCTCCCCAAGGACTTTATTGATAGCCTGGGATGAATGTAGCAAAAGATAGGGTGTCAGAATTATTACAAACATTTATTAAAATTATTTTGAGGTTGTATTTAATCTTTATTAACAATTCAAAATATATAATCTAGAAAATAACATTATATGCAGTCTTATCCTTGAAAAATAATGTGTTCATAATTAGGTTGCATACAGAAGTTTCTATTTTGTAATGTAGTATCTCATGCTTTTAAAGTTAATTGTTCCATCTTGAAAATATTTGCTTCCACTTTTGAAACAATTGTCTCCCCTTTACTTGTAAGAAAACAGAGTTTAATGTTGGTTTTATTTTTGCCAATAGTAAGATGAGCTTTCTTTAAGAGTAATGTTAGTTGGCTTAACTGTCCATTTGAAAAAATACTTAAGCCATTATATTTGACCGAAATAGACTTATTAGAAGCATTTTTCTAAAGTAAAGGTTTTTTTTTAAAGTAGTAACATGAAGAATATTAACAATAATAATTATTTTATATTATATAGTAATTTCAAGGGTCTGATCTGTTACCAGCTGTCTTAATCACCACTTGCATACGAAGCAGGCATTTTTAATGTTACTAAAATTGGGAAAATTGATACATGAAGAAAATAAGTGAGTGCCCAAGGCTTTAAAACCAATAAATGTCCAGTGTTAAAACAGAGTTCCCTTGAAAGTTAAGCCTGAGAGTATGCATATATGCTCAGGCTGAGATAGATATTTGAGGTATTTGAAATAACCAAACCTAAAAATGCATTCCCTAAGAGAAAGAAAGGTCAATTTGTAGAAAAATAGGGATATTATGGAAATTCAATAGAATTAAAGCAATGTGAATATGGAGAAATAGTGGAACAACTCATGGTGTTGAGTTGGGAGTGAATGTAATTGAAATGTCAAATGAAATGATAACTTTAATAAGAATTATTCAAGTTTAATCATAGGGTGAAAAAGATTGAGTGAAAATGCTTGATAAGAAATTATTTGAATTTTGTCCTTCACTGTATTTACTTATGTCCCTGTTCTATATCTATTTACCAATCTAACATCAAATCTTTCCACAAATTCATTCCTTCCTTTCAATTGTATGTCCTATGACTGTATCACTTTCTAAAATGTACAACTTGCTCATTCATAGTTACATAAAGTTTGTTCAATATTTTTCCTAGACCTGAGATGCCCACTAGGAGTGATTGAGTCACTCCTTCAGTGACTAAATCAAATAATTATTTTCAATGCTCTGAAAGCAATAAATTTTCTTCTGTGTAGCTCCTTAGTCAATGTCATCCCCAAATAACCCCCACCTTCTATGAATTACCATAGAATAGTAACAGCTATTTCCTAAATGTTTATTATGTGCCAAGATCGTTTCAAAGCAGTTTGCTTGCATTATCTCCTCTAATACTTGATGAAAACCTATAAGTTAGATAATGGTTTGATCCTCATTTTAAAGATAAGTAAACTGAGGCCAGAGATTTAAAATAAATCTCTGAAGATTGTGCACTAAGTGGCAGAGCCCACATCGCTTGGCCCATACTGCTTTTTAAAATGTTTGCCCCTTTTTATGCTCATAGACACTTAACGAACATTTCTTTCTTCCCAAAGAGGTATACATTTCTGGAGGCCAAAAACATAGCTTGGATATCTTTATGTTGGTCATAATACTTAACAGAGCTGTAGAACATAGTAGGAGCTTAGTAAAACTTTAGGGAAAACAATTAGTAAGTTTTCGATATTAAGAACTCTGTTAAGGCTTATTGAGGAGTTAGAAAAAAATACAAACCCATAGTGATGTGGAACATTCAAATCTAATTTAATTATGATCTTTATATGAAGGAGAAAAAATGCGTGTGACAGCTGTGATATTCATAAAACCTTTGTTTAAAAAATTCATTTCTTCTGTCTCAATTTCTCTGTTTACACTGAATCTTTTTGTTTGTTTGTTTTCATGATTTTTTTAAATTCCAAAAAAGCTATTTTCACCCAAGTTTGTTTCATTGATATGATTTTAGTAGCTCCTATCTGAAACCATCGTCAGGAAACATGTTTTTTCTCTTTGGCTATTTCAAAAAAGAAAAATACTTAATATCAGTATGAATAACACATGTGCTCATTGCAGCATAATGTTGGTGCAATCTGTGCTTGATACAGTTATAAATAAGTCTTTGAAAGCATTTTTCTGTATTTTAAATAAAGGCTATAGAAAGCCACAAGAAGGATCTAGTCTTGTTAATATCACAAGCTGTTTCCCCACCTGCACTCAGAGCAGCTTTAGTACAGCAGCTGTCTGGGTTCGTGTTGGCACATCACTGTCTGCACAGGAACCCCATGGTTTACACAGAAAATGAATAGGCCACAGTTCCAATGGGGGTCTTTAATAATCCTTCCTCTAATGCTACCATGTGTGAGCATTGGGCTTTGAAGGGGTGTGAGGTGTGAAGTTTCAGGAGGATTATTTAAAGCCACTCAATTTCGAAAGGTAGAAAAGAGCATTACAAAAACCAGAGAGTGTCTTTGCATTCCTCCTGCATGTTGATCAAATGCAGCTTATATTGATATTAGAGCTTCATGTCCAGCATGTAATAGCAAGTAAAAGGATTGATATAATTAGGTGATTCACTCCATTCAGCCCTCTTTAACATGGACAAACAAAACCTAGCATAGATGTTTCATTGATTTTATTTACCAAATATTAGCTGTGAAAATATTAACCTAATGAGAACAAATATCTATCCTGTAGTACCTATGGATATTAAATCCAGGGAGGAAGAAATTTATACATTGGACTTGCCTATGTGTAATTGGGTGGCCCTTGGACATTTAAAATAAAGCAATTTTTTTTTTCTTTTTCTACATAGACTTCTAAAAGTATCATCCATGGTAGTTAATCAATCATGGTTTTTTAGGCCATGTGAATAAATTTCTTGTTCAAACTGAGAACTTTATTCCAATAACTCTTACTTCTCCTAAGGCACATTAAAGAACCCAAATTCCATTTTGTGACTATTCTGAGCAGTTTTTGGAGAGCATACTATAATGGAGGTGGGGTGATTTAATCACTTTGAGACATACTCTGTGCAACTACAGAATCAAAATATTAGGGCCTCAGCCACCTACTGCCCCACATCTGGACTTAATTTCAAAAGATCTTTAAGCATTGGGAATGCCCAGCATTGAGAAACTATCTCCAGTGTTACAGGAAATAGCAAGTAAAGAGATGGTATATTCAATCTAATACACATTTCCTCTATAGATCAGGCACTGTGCTGGGTATTTCAGAACTGAGGCCAAATGCTATAGGTCTTAGACCAAAAGATTCTCATTCAATTAGGGATGATAGACATCTAGACAGACAAGCGCACTGCAGACAGAGCTACAGAGGCATCTTAGAGGACAGATTAACTTTCTCAGGAGTTAAAAGTGGAAAGGCCTATGAGAAGGTAACATCTCAACATAGGGCTTAGATGAGCAATGGAAACTTTTCTAGGTGGCTGAAAGGGCGTACTGAACAATACACGCAAGATGTCATTGTAGGCTGAGTGGGGCTTGGTATTGCTGGACCTCAAAATGGGAAAGGATAGAAACCCTCAGAAGATAAGTCTGCAAAATAGACCAAGGCCAGATCATAAAGAATATTTTATTTCTCCTTAAGATTCTCAGCCTAAAGTATTTCTGATATGGAATAAGCCAAAGGTTGGAATGTTTAGAGGCCTGAGGAAGGGCAGTCAGTTAGAAAAATTTTGCTAGTGGGAAGTGAGATGGTGAGGGAAATGGCAGGAAGTGTGTAATGGGAGGGGCAAAAGAGGAGACATTTAGGAGGTGGATTTGTCAGGGTTTATTGAAGTAATGGAGTGAGAGAAAAGTGGGTACCTTTCAGGTTTTTTATTTTATTTTTTATTTTATTTATTTTATTTTATTTTATTTTATTTTTTTGGTGGATTTGGGGGAGACGGAGTCTTTCTCTGTCTCCCAGGCTGGAGTGCAGTAGCGTGATCTCGGCTCACTGCAACCTCCGTCTCCTAGGTTCAAGCAGTTCTCCTGCCTCAGCCTCGCGAGTAGCTGGTACTATTGGCGCACAACGCCACGCCTGGCTAATTATTTGTATTTTAGTGGAGACAGGGTTTCACTGTGTTGCTCAGGCTAGTCTTGAACTCCTGAGCTCAGGCAATCCGCCCGCCTTGGTCTCCCAAAGTGCTAGGATTACAGCCGTGAGCCACCGCGCCCGGCCTTTTTCAAATCTCTGAATTGGTAAATTTTTTTAAAGTCCTTTTTTAATAAGATTCACAGAATATTACCCCTCTTAAGTTATGACAGACAATGGTGACTTCTCTGTCCACTGCTCTGAATATTTCTAACCCCTAAAACATTCTGATTTTACACAACAGGATATACAACCCACAGCCTGTAGGGCGGAACAGCCAATGACTGGTTCCAATAGAGCTTGACAGATATTTTGTGCCTGTCATTGCTTTATGACACAGTTTTAAGCCACAGACTAAAGATGATTGTAGCTACCACTGTCCTCCTTACGGTTAAAACAGCTCACACAGTATTTTGCCCTAATATTGTCAAGAAGCACAATTCCTTTCCCAGAAAACTGCTCTAATTGGATTCGGTAGACCTTGACTGGCTTGTCACTGCTGTGTTCAAGGTGAAGGTGAAATCTTTGAGGAGCTTGTTCCTGAAAATAAAAGCTGAATATCTCTGATGAAGGCCTTTTAAAAGTACATATCTTTATGCAATTATTTTCATATTACTTTTCCACGATCTATGTTTTATTATGTGTGACAAATGACCAGGAAAAAGAAAAAGGTTGTGGGATTGATTTATACTCTAAATCCTATATATATGCAGTTATATCTTTAAACATTTATCGACATATAAATGTAAAATTTGAAAAGAAAATATTTTTATTCTGATTTTTTAAAAATTCCAAATTCAACATTTCATAACAGGTGAGAAGTTGCTGTTGAAGCCACACTGCTGATGAGGACTCAGGCAGGTGTCCCGAGAAATCGCCCAGTCGTGAGAGGAACCATAAGAACTTTGTAAGGTAAATACTTTTCTTAACTTTTTAAAATCTGGGCAAGACACAAGGTCAATGTTTAAAATAATTACTGTTGGATTTTCTTTATAAGAAGAATAACGCTAATTCACATTTTTAGCCCGATTTCTTTAATTCATATTTGGCGATAGAGCTATTACCATTTATTAGATTTTGTATCACATTCTGTATAACATACACAAAATGCGTATACATGTACATATATACGAATCTACACACGTTTACCACTAAATACTGAAAAGCGTTATCGAAAGTCTTTATCTGCCTAGATTGCCAAGTAGAAAGTGTGACCACTTTTTGAAAAATATGAATACACTGAATCATTGAAATATCTTGGTGTCCCAGAGAGTAGAACCAGGATAGTCTAAAGCGTGCAAATATTAAATTGTGTGAAGCATTTTGGTTCTAAATTTCAGTTAAGAGAGAGGCTATTTCACAGTTGGCCTACTTCCTACAGGAAACCACAGTGATGTTTTATTAAGTAATGGAATATAGTTTGTCTCTTCATTTACCTGTAAGAAATGTGGCAGGGAGAGACTTGAAACTAGGACTTAAAGAGTGACAAGTACCAGGCATGAGAAACACAGCTCCCTTAAAGAAAAAGTAAACATTCCAGGAGGCAATCCTTTTGGAAAATGAGCCAATCAGAGCTGGTCCTGCTAAATGGAGAGGCTAGAGAGTAGGTGCCCCTGACTTCTCAACTTCATATTAAAATATTCTGCCGTTCACCTTTCTTGAACTCAATTCCCTAACAAGCAAGCTGACATTAAATCTTCATTCTTTAGAAATTTTAATATTTGGAAAGTGTATGAAGTAGGTCATCTAAAAATGTAAAAAGCAATCCTCAAGTTATGGCACTCTGTCGCATTTTGGTTTGGATAGAATTCTATTCTGTTTAATGAGTTGTTTGATGATCTCCCTGAAACTGAGCATACTTGAGTTCTGAGATACCACACAGAAATATGACTGCAAAAGCAAAAGATGATCTTCAAGTAGATCAACTTTTGAAAGTGTATCAATCACTGGCATTAAATTGTTTGTCTCATTCTTGAGGAAGAGAAGGGACTGGATTTTTATAAGGTTTATTTTTAGCTTCTTGGCTAACTATAACACACCTGAAAATAAAGGCATGTTTATGACATCTTACCGTGTTGTGTCTGCTGTCTGAAACACTCATTCAGGAATGAATTGGGATACTGATGCACTAAAAAAGGCTCAGGATGGGGTTTGGATAAGTGCTGCTCCTTTGAAAGAGTCCAGACTTTGTAAGAAAGTATTAAAATTCTGCATTGATAAGATAACTTTTGAAGCTTTAAATTGAACTGCCTAAGGAATCTCTTTTAAATGATCTTCATTCCAGTTCCATGATTGGTGGGTACGAGTGAGGGACGAGGACTTCTTTTCTATTTCCCTCAAACTCGAAAATTTTTCAATTTTTTTCTTGTAATTTCTGATTAATGGCACTCTTGATTTTGATTTATATTATCCTATTATTCATTATATGGGAGAAGAAGAAGTCACTTTTTTTTCCAATTTAATTTTTAAAATTAGGGCTAGCAGTGAT
The DNA here is from genome assembly GCF_000001405.40 of Homo sapiens. Taxonomy (NCBI): domain Eukaryota; kingdom Metazoa; phylum Chordata; class Mammalia; order Primates; family Hominidae; genus Homo; species Homo sapiens. The sequence continues at coordinate 165,779,651 of NC_000005.10, forward strand.
GAAATTTAAAATCAAATTATCTTGTCAGAGTGACAGATAAATCTCTAGAGTTTCTAATGAGATTTTCCACTGGCAGGATGCTGAATTTCTCCCTTTCCCAGACTTCTTCATTCCAGGTTTTGACAGGGAGTGACAATGAGCATCTGTGTTTTGAAATATAGTACTATTTGAGGTATTTTGGTCCTTATTTAGAAATTTGGGGGTGGTTTGCTTCTTTGTTCTAGGTTAAAGGGGAAAAAGACAAATGTCAAATGGGTACATCTTTTACTATGGAAAGCTGTAAGTAATTACCATATACCTAAATTTGATTAAGCATAGTAGATTCACCAATTTCTACCCTAACCTTTACGTGTTAATATTCTTAAAGGAATTTTTACCATAGAGATGGTGTAAATATGACACCATATTCTTACTATGCTGCTATTTGACTTTTCTCCCCCATGTTTTCATTATCCTAAATAAAATTTGAACTCTTAAGCATTTTCACAGTATTAGGTTGAACTCTGTAATTCTATATGCAGTTAACAATTCTGTCTTACGTAATCAGGGAGTTAGAGATTCTGTTTCTAGTAGCTAAAAAAAAAAAAACCCTATTCTTTGCTGATCTCAGTCAAACATGTAGCAAAATAATGATTCTTAAATGATATAATAGATGTGCACTTTATTCCTCTGCAAGAGAATATATCTAAGATAAGCTGTGTATTCAGTGATACTACCCAAGTAACTGAATTGCCAATTAGTAGTTTAAAATGTCTTGGGGAAACAAAAAGAATACAGAAAAAATGATTAGTTATGACAGGACCCTCCATATTGAGATTGTCTTGGAGTAGAACGTGTTGCAAAATGAGGTTGATTCTAGACTGAGCCTGCTCCCTAACTCTGACTAGACAAGGAGTTCATGAGATGTCTTAAAGCTTCAATTTCCTCACATGTGCAAGAAGAAGCAATTTTTCTTGCACTTTTTTTTGTCAGCCAGAAGCTAGTCAAAAGCTACAGCTGTAATTTAGAACTTTGCTTCTTCATTACATTTCCGTCTATGTATGTTGTTGTAATTTCTACATCAGAGGATATTAACCAATGAGTGCCCCCTGAGAAGCCTGCTTTGGTTACTTGATTATTATTTCAAAATGAGTAATGGTGAGTATGTTAGGTAGTAATTCAAGGAACAGATGATACTCAGAAAAAAATGTGGCAAGACACCTATGTGTAGGCCCTGAAGAGCTGCACATACTGTACATTAGCTAAGAGTCTTAATAAAAGAACAGAAGGAAGGGAAAATACAAAATGAAGAATGAATTACTTAAGATTAAATAGTTTCTATTACAGAAATAGGCTGCATGGAGAGCTAATGGCAGGCATTTTCTACAGACAGATGGAATGCTCTCATCTCCCAATAGTATTGATATGAAGTCTCCGTTAAGATTCATTTTTCCTGAAACATTTGCATATAAATATAAACATCATTACTAGGGGCTAATTGCCCTGTAGGAACTAAAATGTGGGAATTAGCATCTGTAGTCGCTTTTATTATTATTTTTTAAAGTATCTCTAACACGCATCGTATTTGGTACTGCATGGCTGCAACAGATAATTACCACCATTAAGAATCTCAAACGCAAAATCAAAACCATTTGGAATGGCTTCCAGGGCAACCCAGCACAGTGAGTAGCCACCAAAATGAGTATATGAGGTTTATGTTCATGCATATTTATAAGGGCACTTAATTCGACATTCATAGTAGGGGGCTTTTGAAAGCTTGTCAAAAGAGCAGCCCCAAAACAAGACCAAACATCAAAGGTAAGAAGATACAGTGCATCTCGCTCCCACACACATACAAATATTGCTTGCAGGAGGCAATGAATAACACCAAAGGAATTATTTATTTTAACTACTCAGAAGAGACGGCAATTTCTACGAAGATGTAAACCACAAGCCTTTGCCTTTATCATTCATCTTATTGATCAGAAAGGTCAAGAGTATAAGTTATTCAAAGGATGGATCATAGGCAAAATTCTGGATAAATGGACATGTAGATTTGTGTGATTAATGCCTCTTGCTTGTGCAGAATATGTGGAAGAGTTTGAAGGCATGTCCTAAGGACAGAAAAAAGGAAAGTATTTGAAAGAATACTGACTATAGCTGAAACACTGCCCATTTTGTGGGTGGGTCTGTGTGTTCAGTATATAGTTGCTGCCTTGTTCAAGTGTTGTGTTCAGAGGCGATCTTGCTGACACTTATACTTTTCAAAACCATTTCCATGACATTCAGCAAATGTTTGTTCTGGCGGAACAAATCTGTTAAATTATAGATTAGAAACAGTACAAAGAAACCTTTACAAATGTTTCAGTTTCAGTTTTGCACAAAGCAAACAGCATTATATTTAAATGCAACACTCCTTGTTAGAATAAAACATCTACATAACAGGGTACTATGCTCGATTTATAATTCTCTTCTCCACTCCGCTTGGGGGGCAGGGATGCCTGAAGTTCTGAAAGCCGCAGTGTTGAGGATCACCTCTCATCACTTCCTTTCAAAAGCCCACATCTACAATCCACTTCTGCTTTCTTGCCATTTCCCTGTCTTTCCCAGCTTCCTTTCCTTAGTTTCCTTCCCCACCCCCTTGACTCTCCATTGTTGCTAGGAATGGTCTAAATGCAAAATAATGACACTTTTCCTGTAATGGCGATCCCATATTATTTAATGGGCATTTAGTTCTATTCAATCCCTCGTTAACACCTTACTCATTATATTGAAAAAATATTGGAGAGTGGCATAGTAGGTTTTTTTTTTTAAATTTTGAGAATAATTTAATGTGTTGACTTTAAGATACAACTACATTCTATATAAGATACAACTCTATATGTCAATACTTTAAAGAAACGGATCTTTACAAGACCAAAATAACCCACAGGCCATGAGGTTGGTTTTCCCTTTTTCCTTTTTTTTTTTTTTTTTTTTTTTTTGTTTAAACAAATGTGCACCACGATGTTTCAACAACTAAGACAAGTGCCATGAACGTGAAAGCTGCAGATTGCAGTATACCACATTTAGAATCCAGGGGAGGTGAATTACACAGAGGTGGTAGTTATTCTCACTAAACAATCAGGTAACTTCATAACAACTCGATTTGCATCATGAAAAATGTCCATTTAAGTTTCTTTTTTCTTGATGATCAGAGGTCTCACATTGTCTCCAGTCTCTTCCTTGTGTTTTGTGTGAGACCCCATCACACAATGGGAACTTTCTGGACCTCCAACAATGGCAGTATCGTATAGCTTTATCTCCCAAATCCTCCATGTCAAAAGCATGTACTATCTTGGGGTTGTCTTTCTGGATGTGAAGGTTTATCGTAGCTTTATTTCGATGATCTTTAACATAAAACCTTTTGTAAGCTCGATAATCAATTGCAGCTGTCCCAGCAGCAGTAGTAACTGCTGTGATTCATTCAAGTCGTCCGCTGGAACTGGTAGTCAGACTCATGGCACCCATACTTGCAAGGTGTGTGCACTAGGATACCGAGCACCAACATGGTAGTTTTAAAAAGCATTCTGGGGATGGATGCCAGGGCACTGCTCACTTACCACAGGTTTCAAGTGACCTGTTTATGGGCATACTTTAGATCCATAACTCAAACATTAAGTCATTATGTAAAGAACAGTAAAGTTTAACTTAGGAATTCTTTGACTACTGAAGAAAGGTTTATTTTTAGGGCTATATGTTGTTTTATGACAATCATTATTTTTAAAATTGCCAAGAAGGTTTTTTTTTTATTTTTGTATTTGCTTGTAATTGTTAGTGACAGTAATTAAATAAACAGGTGATTTAGTTGAGGAAAGATTTGTCAAAAAGATAAAATTATCTACATTGCCAAAATATATCAACATTCCATAAAAGAGAAATAGAAATGAAGTGACTAAGCATGCTTTAAAATGTATTTCAAAATATATTCTAAATATGTTGAAACATATTAAAGAGACATACATTGAACAGCAGTACATACAAGCATATCAAGAGAGTGAGCAGAAAACACAGAAACATAGATATGTTTGCATGCCTATGAAGACAATATGTGTCCAATTAAGAAAATACCGGCCAGGCGCGGTGGCTCACGCCTGTAATCCCAGCACTTTGGGAGGCTGAGGCGGGCGGATCACGAGGTCAGGAGATCGAGACCATCCTGGCTAACATGGTGAAACACCGTCTCTACTAAAAGTACAAAAAAATTAACCGGGCATGGTAGCGGGTGCCTGTGGTCCCAGCTACTCGGGAGGCTGAGGCAGGAGAATGGCGTGAACCCGGGAGGCGGAGCTTGCAGTGAGCCGAGATCGCGCCACTACACTCTAGGCTGGGCGAGAGCGAGAGCGAGACTCTGTCTCAAAAAAAAAAAAAAAAAAAAAAAAAAAAAAAAAAAACAGGCTGGGTGCGGTGGGTCACACCTGTAATCCCAGCATTTTGGGAGCCCAAGGCAGGCGGATCACTTGAGGTCAGGAGTTCAAGACCAGCCTGGCCAACATGGCAAAACCCTGTCTCTACTAAAAATACAAAAGAAAATTAGCTGGGCATGGTAGTGGGAACCTGTAGTCCCAGCTACTCCGGAGGCTGAGGCAAGGGAAACACTTGAACACGGGAGGCGGAGGGTGCAGTGAGCCGAGACAGTGCCACTGCACTCCAGCCTGGGTGACAGAGTGAGAGTGCATCTCGAAAGAGAGAAAATATCACAAAGCTTTCACGAAAGAATGACTAAATAAATGGAGTTATGGAGTGTCTTTAGGAGGGACAAAAACGTAGACTCACTGACATCATATAACAAAATAAAATCAAGGGAGAGACAAGCTAAAATCATAGACTAAAGGAGTCAACTTAGAGTAAATGTAAAGCTGAAATCTTACAAAAATGAAATGATAATTTAGATAATTACTTTTTGTGATCTCTGGACTTCTAGGCATAAACAAACTTTTTAAGCATTCAAGCAACGGAGACAAATCCAAGGGAAAGATCAACGTATTTGAATTAAAATGTATACACGTTTATACATCAGAAAGTAATCAGTAGCCAAGTTAAATGACAAATAACAAACTAAGAAAATACTTTTCTAAAATTCCAGAATTAAAGATAAATTTTAAAAGAACCAATGTCTTTTTCTTTCAGAGTCAACGTGGTAAATAGATCTCAAAGCATAACAACTACAAAAGAATAATGAGCATACGAAAATAATTTAACTTCAGTTACATAAAAGAGTGAAAATTAAAAATAAAGATTTCCTTTTTGTGTTTTTGTGTGGGTTTTTAACAGTTTTGCTTTGTAACATGGCAAATACTTTAAAATGGAAATCCCTCCTTTGTGTAGTCCAGACATAAGCAATCTCAGAGACAACTAGGGTGTATACAAATGAATATCACATTCCTGGAAAGCAGTTTTACTATCATAGAATGAGAGCTTGAAAATCTTATAGAAAACATATTATTGGTTCAAAAATAAATGTATTATCTGCATAAATGATCAGAAATTCATAGAATTACTTATAAAAAATATGGCCATTACAATGAAAAGTTAAGTATTTTTACCCTAAGCATTTTTAAAACGTTCCTATTAGTAGATAAAATAGCAGGAACAACACAAACTGATATCTCTGTCTATGTACATTGATTAGAATTTGCTGGTCCCCAACCTTCATTTATAATTTGCCTTCAGATTCCTAAGGTCTGTGTCAGTGTCAGAGATTTTTTTTTTTTTTTTTTTTTTTTTTTGAGAAAAACGTCCATGTCCTCCAAACCATTCAATACAGGGGAAGACTAAAGGGCAACCAAGCTTTTATGGCAGAAGATGATGTTGGAGAAGGCAGAGAAGCTTCAACCCCAGTTCATCTGGGAGCACTGCAAACTTAGCAATACAGAAGAAAGATACTTAGTGACTAGTTACTGTATGCATTTGTTCAGTTAGTATTTATTTATTCCCTATGAGTAGCATAGTGAGGTACCTCACTACAAACAGAATGATGAATCAAATTTGGACTAATCAGAAGCTGAGAGTCTTGAATAGGAGACGTGCGTGTACACATGCCTGTTTGCGTACATATGTGTGCATATTATTGGAAGTATGGAATATTTTTTTTTCTTTTGTGATGAGGTCTTACTCTGTCACGCAGGCTGGAGTGCAGTGGCACGATCTCGGCTCACTGTAGCCTCTGCCTCCTGGGTTCAAGCAATTCTCCCACCTCAGCCTCCCGAGTAGGAATTACAAGTGCCTGCCACCATGCCTGGTTAATTTTTGTATTTTTAGTAGAGACTGGGTTTCACCATGTTGACCAGGCTGGTCTCAAACTCCTCACCTTAGGTGATCCACCTGCCTCGGTCTCCCAAGGTGCTGGGATTACAGATATGAGCCACCACACCTGGCTAGAAGTTTGGAATCTTAAGGAAGGAAATGCCTAACAATGTTGATTTGCTGGTTTTTTTTTTTCTTTTTTTTTTTTTTTAAACTGACTTTTAAAACTGACTTCCTCAGGACCCATTGTAGTTAACATACATTTCTACTTCCACAATCATTGTTTTCACAGATAACATCACCATATTTACTTTTCTCGGGACAATCTTAATTTATTTGATTTACTGGTTTATTGTCTCCACACCAACCACCTAGTCACTTTTTGGAAAGCAAGAAACACAAGGTAGAGGACATGTTTATGTCGTTCACTGTCATGCTCTCAATTCTTGGCGCAGAGTGACTTGCTCAATATATGTTTGTTGAATGATGGATGCTTATTTTTCTTATAGACTAAACTGTCTTTTATGTATAGGTAGGATTTGTGCACAGAGAAAGAGAAAGAAGAAAGAGGAAAAAATAAGAGCAAAGAAGGGAACTAGGTGAGCAGAGGCAGAGAGGCAGCATTTGAACTTAGTTTTTGAAGGAAAAGAGGAAGGTGAGGTAGAAAATAAGTTGTACTGGGAGCCAGGCTCAGCTGGTGCTTTGGCATATTTTAATGATGGGGTTCTTGAGTCTTACAGCTTGAGTATCTTTAATGTTCTAAAATAATGTCAGATTATTTCTCAAAGTATTGGTGCCAATTTTCTTTCTCATTTGCAGTGTGCATATAAGAGCTATGTTTATACACAATCTAACCAGTACTTGGTGCTGTCATACTTGTTAATTTGTGCCAATATAATGGGCAAAAAAAAAGTATATTGTTTTCATCTCAATTTGCATATCCTTCCTTATAGTTGAAGAACTTCTTTTTGCCTTCTTTTTTTCTCTTCTGTATGATATCTGTTAATCATTTACCTATTTAAAATGTTGACTTTCTGGGCTTTTTTTTTTTAACTGACTTTGAATTTCTTTTTTTTTTTTAATTTTTTTCGAGTACCTGTGGTTTTCAGTTAACTTTTATAAATATATTCCAACACTGTGGCTTTTCTTTCTTAAAGGGATCTTTTGAGGAACAGAAGGTTTTGTGGCTGTACCTACTTCTGTAGTGCTGTATTGTTTTAATATGGTTGCTGTATATTTTTTGTATGGTATTGTATCAGTTTTGTTAGAGAATCTCTTTCTCTGAGGTCATAAAGATATCTACCTATATTTTTTGTAAAGTTTTATAGTTTTGACTTCTGACATTTTAGAATTTTTATCTATCTAAAGTTGATGTGTCTGTATAGTAAGAAGTTTTGAATAAATTTCATTTTTTTCTAGTATGGGTGACTAAGAATTCTTATACAATTTATTTGAATTGATCTTCCTCTCCTCAGTTACGTACAACACTACCTGAACGGTAAAGCAAATTCAGGATATCAATGGGTCAGTTTCTGGAGATTATCTTTAGTTGCACTAGCAGCATGATCACAATCTCTTAATTACTATAGCTTTTATAATTTTCTTCATTTCTGATAGGCCAAGTGCAGTCCTATTTTATTCTTTTTGTTTTAAAACATCATACATACTTTTGGACTATTGCATTTCTGTATTAGGTTTTCCTGGTTGCATATGAATTTATTGGTTTAAAATAACACCCATTTAGTAGACTTCTATAGGTCAGAATTCCAGCATGGAGTGTCTTGGTTCTCTGCTTAAGGCTGACATCAAGGAAATAGCCAGGCTGAGTTCTCATTTGTAGTCTCTGGGGAAAAATCTTCCAGGCTAATACTTGTTGTTGGTAGGCGTTATTTACTTGTGGTTCTGTAACTGAGATTCCAATATCTTTGCATTTTAATCTGGTGGTTGTTCTTAGTTCATAGTGGCTGTTTCCAGGTCTTTTCCATTGTGAACCTCTAATATTAGGAACAGTGTGTCAGTTCCTCTCTTGATTCAAATTTCTAACTACTTATTCTGCTACTAGCCAGAAAAAAGTTTTGTGTTTTTAAAAGTGCTCATAGGATTAGATTATATTCACCTTTTTGATGGACTCAAAGCAACTGATTAGTGACCTTAATTACATCTTCAAAATCCACTTTTTTGTGTAACCTAATCATAGGCATGGTATCTCATCATATTTATAGTCCCAGGAACTAAAGCAGGAAAACAAAACTCGGGAGACATCTTTAGAATTCTGTCTATCCCAACTTTGTATACATTTTAGAAATAAATTGTCAATTTCTTTATAAACATTCCTGTGATATTTTAAATCAAATTGTAGAAAGTTTAGAAAACAATTGTAAAAAAATGGCATCTTTATACTATTGAGTCTTCTAATTCATACATATTATATCTTTCATTTGATCTTTTTATATTTTATTGATACATAATATACATATTTTAGGGGTACGTATAATTTAATATATTCATATAATTTGTAACAAATTCGTGTAACTGGAATAGTCATCAAATTAAATATTTGTATTTTCCTTATGTAAGGAACATTAAAATTATTATCTTCTTGCTATTTTGAAATATACAATAGATTATTTTAAACTATTGTCACTCTGCTGATCTAGCAAACACTAAGTCTTATTTCTTCTATCAAACTGTATTTTGTACCTATACACATTAATCACCTTCTCTTTATTCCTTTCTTCCCCCTACTCTTCCTGTCCTCTGATAACCATTCTACTCTCTGTCTTCATGAGATCTACTTTTTTAAGCTTCTACATGAGTAAGAACATGTGATATTTGTTTTTCTGTGCCTATTTCACTTTACATAATAACCTCTCATTCCATCCATAGTGCTGCAAATGGCAAGATATTATTCTTTTTTAATGGCTGAATAATTCATTGTGTGTATATACCACATTTTCTTTCTTTATTCATTGGTGGACACTTCAGCAATGAAGGTTAATTTCATGATTTGGCTATTGTGAATATGGCTTCAATAAACATGGGAACACAATTTTTTTTATATATATATTGAATTCCTTTATTTTGGATACATACCCTGGAGTGAAATTGCTGGATCATATGGTAGGTCTAGTTTTACTTTTTCAGGAACTTTCATACTATACCTCAGAGTAGCTGTACTAAGTTACATTCCCAACAGTGTATGAGGGTTCCGCTTTCTCAACATCCTTGCCAGCATCTGTTATTCCCTGTCTTTTTTATGAAGGCCATTTTAACTGAAATGAGATGATATCTCATGTTATTTGAATTTGCATTTTTCATGTGATTATTGATGTTGAGCATTTTATTATATGCCTTTTGGCCATTTGTATGTCCTTTTTTTTTATTTTATTTTATTTTTTTTTTGGAGACAGAGTTTTGCTCTTGTCACACAGGCTGAAGTGCAGTGGCGTGATCTTGGCTCACTGCAACCTCCACCTCCCAGGTTCAAGCGATTCTCCTGCCTCAGCCTCCTGAGTAGCTAGGATTACAGGCACGCACCACCAGGCCCAGCTAATTTTTGTATTATTAGCAGAGATGGGGTTTCACCATGTTGGCCAGGCTGGTCTCGAACTCCTGACCTCAGGTGATACACCTCCCGCCCCCCGCCCGGCCTCCCAAAGTGATGGGCTTACAAGCATAAGCTTCCATGCCTGACTGTATGTCCTCTTTTAAGAGAGGTCTATTCAGAACTTTTGCCCATTTTTGAACTGGATTTTTTTGTTGTTGTTATTGATGTATTTAAGCTCCTTATATATTCTGCATATTAGCTTCTTATATAAATGGTTTGCAAATATTTTCTCCCATTAAACAGGGTTGACTCTTCACTCTGCTGAGTGTTTTCTTTGCCGTGCATAAGCTTTTTAGTTTGATATAGTCGCATTTGCGTATTTTTTGTTGCCTGTACTTTTAAAGTCTTATCAATAAAATCTTCACTTAGACCAATTTCCTAAAGCATTTTCTGTATATTTTCTTCTGCACGCTGCATAGTTGAGATTTCATATTTAAAACTTTAACCTACTTTGATTTGTTTGATTTCTGTATATGGTGAGAGATAGGAATCTAGTTTCATTCTTTTGCATATGGTTATCCAGTTTTCCCAGCACCACTTATTGAAGAAGCGGTTCTTTCCCTTTTGTAAGTTCTTGGTGCCTTTGTTAAAAACGAGTTGACTGTAAAGATGTGAATTTATATTTGAGTTCTCTAATTTGTGTATCTGTGTATCTGTATATCTGTTTTCATTACAGTACCATGCTGTGTGTCTGTTTTCATTACAGTACCATGCTGTGTATCTGTTATCATTACAGTACCATGCTAGTTCGGTTACTATAGCGTTGTTGTATTTTTTGAAGTTAGGTAGTGTGATTCCTGAAGTTTTGTTCTTTTTTCTCAGTGTTGCTTTTGCTCTTTGGGGTCTTTTTGGGTGGTTTCATGTAAATTTTCAAATTTTTTTTTTCTATTTCTGTGAAGAATATTATTGGTGTTTTGTTATGGATTACATTAAATCTGCAATTTGGGGTATAATTTTCATTTTCACTAACGATGTTATCCCAATTCATAAGCATGATATACCCTTCTACTTTTGTGTGTCCTCTTCATTTTATTTCATCAGTGTTTTATCATTTTTCTTGTATAAATTTTTTACTTATTTAGCTAAATTGATTTTTATGTATTGTAAATTATTTGTAGCTATTGTAAATGGGATTGCTTTCTTGATTCCTTTATCAGATTGTTTGCTGTTGGTATATATAAGTGCTACTGTTTTTCATATGTTGATTTTGTATTCTGCAAATTTACCAAATTTGTTTATCATTCTAACAGGTTCTTTTGGAGGAGATTTTGGGTTCTTCTAAAAGTATAAGATCATGTCATCTATGAACAAGACTAATTTCACTTCTTTCTTACGAATTGGGATGCCCTTTCTTTCTTTCTCTTACCTCGTTGGCCAGAATTTGCAGTATTATTTTGAATAAAAGTCATGAAAGTAGGCATTGTTGTCTTATATATATATACCTTTTATTATTTTGAGTTATGTTCCATCTGTACTTAGTTGGTTGAAGGTTTTTACCTAAAATGTCAAATTTTATCAAATACATTCTCAGCATCCATTAAAATGTCCATATGGTTTTTGTTCCTGATTTTGTTAAGGTGATCTTTCACACTTACTAATTGGTGTATGTTGAAATATCCTTGTATCTCCATAATGAATCCCACTTGATAAGGGTTAATGATCTTTTTAATATGTTGTCGAATTCAGTTTGCCAGGATATTGTTGAAGATTTTTGCATCTATGTTCATCAAGTATATTGGCCTGTAGTTTTCTTTTTTGTCCATGTCTTTGTCTTGTTTTGGTATTGAGGTAATGCTGGCCTCATGAAATGAGTTTGGAAATATTCTCTCCTCTAATTTTTTTAAGACATTGAATGGAATTGGTATTAGTTCTTCTTCAAATGTTTGGTAGAATTTAGCAGTAAAGGCTTCAGGTCCTCGAATTTTCTTTAATGGGAGACTTTTTAACAGGGCTTCAATTTCATTACTCATTACTGGTTTGTTGATGTTTCTATTTCTTCATGGTTAAATCTTAGTAGGTTCTATGCATCTGGGAATGTATCAGTTTCTTCTAGGTTTTCCAGTTTGTTGGCATATAGTTGTTCATAATACTCCCTAATGATTCTTGTATTTCTGTGGTCTCAGTTGTTATATCATTTTCATTTCTCATTTTGAGTCTTCGCTTCTTTTTTTCCTTAGTCTAGCTGAAGATTTGTCAATTTTGTTTACTTTTTTCAAAAAACTAACTTCATTTTTTGATTTTCAGTATTGTGATTTAGAGTCGATTTTATTTCTGCTCTGTCCTTTATTATTATTTTTTCTTTTACCTACTTGTGGTCCCATATGTTCTTGCTTTTCTAGTTCCTTGAAGTTCATCATTAGGTTGTTTATTTGGAGCCTTTCTATGTTTTAGATGTAGGCATCTATTGCTATAAACTGTCCTCTCTGTACTGCTTTGCTGCATCTCATAAATTTTGGCATGTTTTATTTCTATTTTCATTTTTTAAGAAATGTTTTAATCTCTTAATTTTTTTCATTAACCTATTGATCAGGAACATGTTGATTAATTTCTATGTGTGTTTGTAGTTTCTGAGGTTCCTCTTGTTATTAATTTCTAGCTTTGTTCCACTGCCAGAAAAGATACTTGATACGATTTCTAGTTATTTGAATTGTTTAAACTTTGTTTTGTGGCCTAAGATATAATCTTTTCTGGAGAATGTTTGATGTGCTGTTGAAAGGTATTTATATTCTGCAGCAGTTGGATTAAATATTCTGCAAATGTTAGGCCTATTTGGTTTAGTATATAGTTTAACTCTGAGGTTTATTGATTTGCTGTCTAGATAATCTGTCCATTACTGAGAGTGGCATGTTAAAGTTCCCTACTAATATTGTGTTGCAGTCTATCTCTCCCTTTAAATCTATTAATATTTGCATTATATACTTGGGAACTCTGGTTTTGGATTAATGGATAATAATAATTTTGTATCCTCTTGCTGAATTAACCCCTTTATCATTATGTAGAGGCCCTTTGGTCTCTTTTCATAATCTTTGATTTGTAAGCTGTTATATTTAAGTATACCTATTCCTGCTCTTGTTTGGTTTCAAGTTGCATGGAATGTCTTTTTTCACTGCTTTACTCTCAGTCTATGTGTATCTTCATAGGTGAAGTTGGTCTCTTGTAGGGAGCATATTTGAGTCATTTTTCTTAATTCATTCAGCCACTCTATATCCTTTAATTTGAGGTTGAGTCCATTTATATTTAGTATTATTATTGATAAGTAAAAACATGCTATTTTGTTGCTTGTTTTATGGTTGTAACTCCTTTCTCCTTTTTTTTTTTTTCCTTTCTTACTGTCTTCTTTTGTGGTTAAGTGATTTTCTCTGGTAGTATGATATAATATTTTGCTTTTTATTTTGAATAAAATCTGTTATAGGTTTCTGTGTTGTGGTTACCATGAGGCTTACCAGAAAACCTCTTATGGATAAAACAATATATTTTAAAGATATGACAACTTATCTCAGATCACTAAGAATAGAAACAAACAACCAGGCTTGGTGGCTCATGCCTATAATCCCAGCATTTTGGGAGGCTGAGGCAGGAAGATTACTTGAGCTCAGGACTTCAAGACCAGCCTGAGCAACATAGTGAGACCCCCATTTCTAAAAAAAAAAAAAAAAAAAAAAAAAATAGCAGGGCATGGTTATTGGTCCCAGTTATTCAGGAGGCTGAGGTGGGAGAATCACTTGAGCCTGAGAGTCTGAGGCTACAGTGATCCATGTTGACACTACTGTACTCTAGCCTGGGTTAAAGAGTGATACCTGTCTCAAAACTAACAGAAAAGAAAAGAAAGAAAAACAAACAAAAATTGTTTAAAACTCTATACTCTAACTCCATCGTCCTCACATTTTATCTTTATGTTAATTTACATATTTTAATATTGCCTTCCTCTTAAGTTGCTGTAGGTATTCTTGTTTTTGATAGATTTGTCTTTTGAGCTTCATGCTAGAGTTGTAAGTGGATTGCACACTATAATTACAGTATTAGAGTATTCTGGGTTTGTTTGTGTACTTATTTTTACCAGTGGGTTTTACGCATTCTGATGTTTTCTTCTGGCATACTAGCGCACTTTTTTTCCCCTTTCAGATTGAAGAACTCCCTTTAGCATTTCTTGTAAGATGGGTGTTTTGGTGTTGAATTCTCTCAGCCTCTGATGGTTTGCAAATTCTTTAGATCTCCTTCATATTTGAAAGGTAGATTTGTGGAATATAATATTCTTGAATGACAGATTTCCGTTAGTATTTTGCAAATGTTGTCCTCCTCCCTCCTGGTCTGTATGGTTTCCACATTGAGGATTGCTGGATGAATTGAGACCCCGCTTATAAGTCATTTGCTTCTTTTCTCTTACTGCATTTAGGATCATCTTTTTGTCCTTGACTTTTGAGAGATTAATTAATATATACCTTGATATAGTCTAATTTAAGTCAAATGTGTTTGGTGTTCTCTGACTTTACATCAATTTTTATATCTTATGTTTTGGAATGTTTTCAATTATTATTTCTCCAAATAAGCTTTCTATCTATCTTGAACACAATAATTCTTAGATTTTGGTTTTTTTAAATGTTATTTTTCTGTGTTTTGTAGGTGATCTTTGTTCCTTTTCATTCTTTTCTTCTTCTCCTCTGATTGTTTCCAAATAGCCTGTCTTTGAGCTCACTGATTCTTTCCTGTGCTTGGTCCTTTCTATTAAGAGTCTCTCATGACTTTTTCAGTTAAGTAAATGTACTTCTCAATTCCAAGATTTGTTTGATTTTTGTAAGTTTTTCAATCTGTTAAATGTATCTGTTAAATTTCTACTTTGCTTTTCTGTATTATCTTGGAGGTCACTGAGTTTTCTAAAACTGCTATTTAAATTCTTGCTCAGAGAGTTTACATATTGCCAGTTTGTTGAACTGGTTTCTTCCTTTGTTCATTTGAGGGTGTCATGGTTCCCTGTTTGCTGTTGTTTCTTATGGATGTATGTCTATGTCTTTACATTGAATGATTAGCTATTTATCTTTTCTGTCTCATTGGTTTTGGTTTTTATTGGATGTGTTTGCTTAGAGGTTCTTTGTAATTTACCTCTTGATGTTTTTTCTTTTTTTTCCTGCTAGGTCACTGCCTCCTTTTTCACTAGATGGCATCTTAATCCCAGGTTTGCCTCCGTTCTAGTACACAGTCAGAGTGTACTAGACATCCTTGAATGGGTATGTCCCAAAAGGGATATCTCAGTAGTCTGGGAAGGCTGGCTAGGAGTTTGTCCCCAGGGAACCTATGGAATGAATCTCCCACAGCATGGTTCTGATGAACTGCCTCTAAGATTTGGCATCTCCTTTGGCCAAGTTACAGAGTAGAGATTTTAGGGCTGAAAATGGCAATATTACCTACCCTGTTTGTCTCTGACTGTGCTCAGACATATTTCTCTCTTTAGGCACTCCCAGTGCTTCTATAGGTTGAGGCAGGGATAAATCTCCTGCAGGTAACCCAAGATGGTAGGAAGCTGGTTGTACATCTCACTCTCACTTTTTTTTTGTTTTGTTTTTTAATTGTAGAAGCTGAGTTGGGGGAAAATATTCTGTGTGTGTGGTACCAAAAAGGTTGGTGGGAGGGGTGTCATGGATGTGGAAGTTCAGTTTTTTCATCATCTGCTCAAGAGTATTTTCACTTCTTGGTGGCTCTGGGAAATGTCTTATCATCATGCTGATTTGTGTTCTGGGAATTGCTGGTGATTATCTCAGCACTGTTTGTTTTTGGTTGTCTGTGCAAGGGAATAAAGCCAGCTTGCTTCTATGCTACCAGTTTGGACCCAGAAATCCCCTTCATTTGATTTTGTAGATATTTAATATTTACAGATACTTACTATTGATAGTTCTATTGTCAAAAGCTGTATACTCGATTTTTATATTGATTTGTATAGGCTATTTTGCTAAGCTCTAATTTGTATTTTATTTTGAGTTTTCTTTCTATACACTCATACTGTCTATTGTTTAATTAGTATATCTTCTCTTACTTTATAATCCACGTGCATATTTGTTCTTTTTTCATGTTGACTACTCAGTCTAGAACATGGTTAATAGAATTCATGATTTTTCTTCCTTCTCTCATTGCAAAGGTAATATTTTCAAAATTTCACCATTAAAAAAATTATGGTAAGTTTTTTCATAGGCACTGTGTTCTGACAACAGTTATCTGACAACTGGGTGTTCTGTAATTCCATTTAATTCTGACACTATCTGATGTTATGTCAGATCCTATAATTAAAGGACAATTGTCTGTACTTCAGATACCAGCTGCAAGTGGGGTCCCTGGACTACTCACACTTCTGCCTGGCCAGCTACAGATTTGGGGCTTCCCACAACCCCTTTAGTTTACATAATTTGCTTAAAATGATTCACAAAACTCTGGAAAGCATATTACTTATTACCATTTAATTGTGAGGGATACAAATGAACTGCCAGGTGAAGAAATACATAGGGCAAGGTCTGGAAGGATCTTATGAACAGGAATGCTTATCCCCAGGGAGTCAGGGCATGCCATCCTTTAAGTATGTCAGCATGTTTGCCAACAATTAGGCTCCCAGAGCTGCAGTGTCTATGGCTTCGATTAGTGTTTCATTACATAGGTAAGTTGGACAAATTATCGGTCACATGACTGAACTCAACCTCCAGTCCCCTTACCATTCCTGGAGGTCAGGTGGCTGAATGTTTCAGCCCTCTAATTATGTGATTGGTTTTTCTGTTAACCAGTGCCCATCCTGAAGCTATCTAAGACCTCTATCATGATTTGACTTACTAGATAACTAATGATACTTAGGAGACTCATTAGCATAACTTCTCTTACTCAGGAAACTCCAAAGGTTTTGAAACTCTGTGCCAGAAACCTGGGACAAAGACTATATATATTACATATACAGACAGTCCCTGACTTATGATGATTCAACTTATAATTTCCAACTTTATGATGGATTTACTGGAGTATTAAATACCTTTTTGACTTAAGATATTTTGATTTATAATGGATTTATTGGGACATAGGTCCATCATAACTCAAGGAGATCTCTCTGTGTGTATACACCTGTGTGGTGTGCATGTGTGTGTGTGTGTGTGTGTGTATGATGCATAAAATAAAACTTGCTATCTTAACCATTTTTAAGTATAAAGTTCAGTAGTGTTAACTACAATCTGTTGTGTAACCAATCTCCAGAACTCTTTTTATCTTGCAAAACTGAAACTTGATATGCATTAACAACTGAGCATTACTCTTCCTCCCAGCCTCTAAAATCCAACATTCTACTTTCTATCTCTATGCACTTTGCTATGATAGGTACCATACATAGGTGGAATAATACAGTATTTATTTTTTGTGACTAGTTTATTTTACAAAGCACAATAATGTCCTTATGTTTTATCTATTTTATAACATGTCAGAATTTGCTTCCAGAAATGTTTTTTATTGTACCACAGATACCTATTATCAAGGTAAAGAAATTTCCATCTTGGTCTGATTTACTGATAGTTTTAATTACGAAAGGACATGAAATCTGTCAAATGTTTACTCAATACCTATAAGAGGATTATATTTTTGTTCTCTTAGTTTATTAACATAGTAAATCTTATTAATGTATTTTTTACTAAAACCGTCCTTGCATTCTGCAATAAACTTACCTTGTTTTATTGTTCACTTTGACTTCTAATATTTTGATAATTACTTTTACATCTATGTGTCTCAGTGATATTTGATTATAATTTTTATTTCTTGTCATTGTCTAGTTCCAGAATTAATAATATATTGATTATAAAATAAATTTGGAGAGTTTCTCATTTTCTTTCAAAAACCTTATATAAATTTGCAACTATTTATTTCTTAAAATATTGGTGGACCTAGTCTGTAAAACAAAATATCTGAGACTAGAATTCTGGGAAAATCGCAGTGTAGGAAACACCAAATCTTCTCTTCCCATCTAGACAACAATTACACTGGGAACTATCTGATGTAACTACATTGAAACTCTGGAGTTTATTGAAGACTAACAATTTCCATGCGAAGTCTTGAACAGTAAATTGTGATTAATTTTGGTCAATATCAGTTTTTTTTTTTTTTTTTTTTTTTGAGATGGAGTTTCCCTCTTGTTGCCCAGGCTGGAGTGCAATGGCATGATCTTGGCTCACTGCAACCTCTGCCTCCCGGTTGAAGTGATTCTCCTGCCTCAGCCTCCAAAGTAGGTGGAATTTCAAGCACCCGCCACCACACCCAGCTAATTTTTTTTTCTATTTTTAGTAGAGACAGGGTTTCAGCATGTTGGCCAGGCTAGTCTTGAAATCCTGACCTCAGGTGACCTGCCAGCCTCAGCCTCCCAAAGTGCTGGTATTACAGGTGTGAGCCACCACATCTGGCCAATCTCAGCTCTTAGCACAGTACCAGCCACCTGTTTCTTGTCACTCAGCCCCATAGCAGACAATTGCGTATATATGCATGGTGCAGCTTGCACACAGCTGCTCCAGGATAGGAGCAGGGATGGACAAAAGGGACCCTGTCCTCCAAATACTGGGGAAGTGTGATCCGATTGCTGATTCTGTCCACAGAGGTGCAAAGATGTGCTGTCCATTGTTGCTGTATCTCCCCCATTGTCACACAAGCCCCAAAAGCCCAGTGTATTTAGAGTGCCAATACGTCTTTCCCTCTTAGATTTTTATCTTTTTCTCCTTTTGGAAACGGTACATTAAAGACTAGGGCATTCCAAATCTTCCACATATTTGTGGGGAATTAAATAATTACTGCACATTCCCAGGGAAAAACACAGGCTCAGAAAACAACTGAGAAGATATTAAATATACACTTCAACTTGATTTTCACAAATACTCAGGCTATGACAATTTTTTAAAAATCAAAAAATATACCTGGGGAAGTGTGAGAATCTGATTTCCAGAACCTGCATATTATTATATTCAACTATCCAGTTTTCAACAAAAAATTACAAGGCATGCAAGAGGTAAATTGGGCCTATTTAAGGCAAAAAAGTAAAACAATCAAAACTATCCCTGAGAAACAACTGATGGCATACCTACTAAACAAACACGTTAAAGCAATTGTCTTAATGTTGCTCAAAAATTAACACATGAAGAAAGTCAAGAAAATGATATATGAACAAATAGAAATAACCAATACAGAGACAGAAAATCTAAAGAGAAACAAAAAAGAAAATCTGAAGCTAAAAAGTATAATAATCGAAGTGATTAATTCACTAGGGAGGGGATTCAAGGCAAATTTGACTAGGCAGAAGAAAGAATCAGTGAACCTTGAAGGTAAAACAATGGAAATTATCAAGTCAGACAAACAGAAAGAAAAAGGATTGAAGAAGAATGGAAAGAACAAGAGAGACATGTAGGATATCAAGTGAACCAACATATACAATATGGGAGTCCCAGAAGAAGGTGAAAGGGACAAAAAAATTGATATAAGTAATGATTGGGTCGATGAACTTCCCAAATTTGATGAAATATATAAATTTAAACATTTTAAAAGATAAACCAATTCCAAGCAGGATGAACTAAAACTGTTGAAAGCCAAAGACAGATTTTTGAAAACAACAACAGAGAAGTGACACATCACATACAAAAGATCTTCAATAAAATTATCTGTACATTTGTCATTAGAAACTTTGGAGGCCAGTAGGCAGTTGGCTAATATATTCAAAGAAAAAAAAGACAAACTGTCCATCAATAATTCTATTTCTAACAAACTGTCCTTTAAAATGAGGGAGAAATTAAGACAGAAATTGAAACATTCCCAGATAAGCAAAAGCTGAAGCAATTTGTTCCCGCTAGACCTACCATTCAAGAAATGTTTAAGGGAGTCCTGTAAGTTGAACTGAAAGGATACTAGAAAGTAACTGAAAGCCATTTTAAGAAATGAAGATCTCGGTAAAGATAAATACATGGGTAAATATAAAATCTATTAGTGTAATAATGCTGTGTGGCTCCAATTTTTGTTTTCTACATGATTAAAGAGGCTAATACATTAAAATTATTAATCTAAAAGCTAGTATTGTTATAACCATGCTTTGTAGTCCACATTTCTTTTCTACATAATTTGAAGACTAATATATTAAATAAGTTATTAGTTTATGTTTTTGGAGATAGGATGTATATAGCTATAGTTTTACAACATCAATAACTAAAAGGAGTAGAGATGGATTTGTTAAAAAAACAGAGTTTTTGTAGGTTATTAAAGTTAAAATGGTATAAGTTCAAATTTAACTGCTGTAATTTTTAAATATGTTAAATATGGTAAATATAATCCTAAAGGCAACCGCAAAGAATATAGCTATAGAATATGCACAAAAGGAAATAATGGGAATGTAAAAAGTTCAGTACAGAAATCTACTAATGCAAAAGAAACAAAGCAAAAATGAGGACCCAGAAAACTGTGAGGAGCATTTTTAAAATAGCAAAAGATAGAAGTAAGAGAAATTGTATTTACAATTGCATAAAAAATTATATAGGAATCAACTTAACCAAGAAGGTGAAGGACTTGTACAATAAAAACTACGAGACATTTATCGAGGCTGGCGGATTTTGTGAGGCCAGGAGTTCAAGACCAGCCTGGCCAACATGGCAAAACTCTGTCTCTACTAAAAATACAAAAGTTAGCTGGGCATAGTGGCACATGTCTATAGTTCTAGCTATGTGGGAGGCTGAGACACGAGAATCGCTTGAACCCAGGAGGTGGAGGTTGTGGTGAGCCGAGCTCACGCCATTGCTCTCCAGCCTGGGCAACAGAGCAAGACTGTCTCAAAAACAAAAACAAAAAACACAAAAACTACAAGACTTTTATGAAATAACTTAAGGAAGATATAAATAAATGGAAAGATATCCCATGTTCCTGACTTGGAAGACTTAATTTTGTTAAGATGTCCATACTATCTCAAGCAATCAACAGATTTAATGTAAGGAGTGTCAAAATCTGAATGATGCTTTTTGCAGAAATAGAAAATCCCTTTCTAATATTTTTATGTAATCTCAAGGGACCCCAAATAGCCAAAAGAATCCTGAAAAAGTAGAATAAAGCTGGAGGACTCATGATTCCTGATTTGAAAACTTACTACCAGATACAATAATCAAAACAGTTCCGTGCTTGTCATAAAGACAAACATATAGACCAATGGAACAGAATAGAGATTACAGGGACAAATCCTCATATATATGGTCAAATGATTTTTGACCAGTGCCAAGATCATTCATGGGTGAAAAGACAATCTTTTCAATAAAAGATTTTGAAAAGACAATCTTTTCAATAAAAGATTTTGAAAAGACAATCTTTTCAATAAAAGATTTTGAAAAGACAATCTTTTCAATAAAAGATTTTGAAAAGACAATCTTTTCAATAAAAGATTTTGAAAAGACAATCTTTTCAATAAAAGATTTTGAAAAGACAATCTTTTCAATAAAAGATTTTGAAAAGACAATCTTTTCAATAAAAGATTTTGAAAAGACAATCTTTTCAATAAAAGATTTTGAAAAGACAATCTTTTCAATAAAAGA
The DNA here is from genome assembly GCF_000001405.40 of Homo sapiens. Classification (NCBI taxonomy): domain Eukaryota; kingdom Metazoa; phylum Chordata; class Mammalia; order Primates; family Hominidae; genus Homo; species Homo sapiens. Next base: position 165,801,077 of record NC_000005.10, read on the forward strand.
TTTTGAAAAGACAATCTTTTCAATAAAAGATTTTGAAAAGACAATGTTTTCAATAAAAGATTTTGAAAAGACAATGTTTTCAATAAAAGATTTTGAAAAGACAATCTTTTCAATAAAAGATTTTGAAAAGACAATGTTTTCAATAAAAGATTTTGAAAAGACAATGTTTTCAATAAAAGATTTTGAAAAGACAATCTTTTCAATAAAAGATTTTGAAAAGACAATCTTTTCAATAAAAGATTTTGAAAAGACTGGATATCTACATGCAAAAGAATGAAGTCGTACCCTTATGTAAAACCATGTACAGAAATTAATTCAGAATGAATTTATGACTTACATGTAAGTCATAAAACTAGAATACTATTAGAAGAAAACCTATGGCAAAACTTTCACAACATTAGATTTAGTAATGATTACTTAGATATATACCACAAACAGAGGTAACAAAGGAAAAAAATAGTTAAATTGGACTTTGTGAAATTCTTAAAAATTTGAGTGTCAGCAGACACAATTAACAGAGTAAAATGGCAATCCACCAAGTGGGAAAGAATATTTGCAAATTATATATGTAACAAGGGATTAATATCCACAATAAAGAACACGGAAAACTCAGCAACAAAACAAACAACTTAATTCAAAGAAGAGCAAAGGATTTAATTAGACATTTCTCCACAGAAGTTATACATATGGTGAATAAACACATGAAAAACATTCAACATCACGAATCATTAGGGAAATGCAACTCACACCTACCTTGAGACACCACCTCATATTCTCTTAGGATGACTAGCATCACTAAAGCACAAAATAATAAGTTTTGGTGAGGATGTGGATACCCTGCACAGTGTTAGTGGAAACGCAAAATATAGCTTCTATGGAAAACAATATGCAGTTTTTCTCAAAGCTAGAAATAGAATTACCATGTAATCCAACAATTTTACCTCTGGGTATATACTTGCAATTACTGAAAACTGGGTGACTACAAAATATTTGCACACCTATGTTCATAGCAACATTGTTTACAACAGCTAAAATGTGGAAGCAACTCAAGTGACGAGTGGATAAGCAAAATGTGCTACATACATATGAAAGACTGTTATTCTGTCTTCAAAAGGAAAGAAATTCTGAAGCATGTCATGACATGGATGAACCTTGAGGACATTATGCTATGTAAAATAAGCCAATCACAAAAGACAAATACAAATGATTCCACTTACCTGAGGCACTTAGCAGTCAAAATCATACAGAGTGTAGGATGGTAGTTACCAGGGACTGCAGAGGCAGAAAATGGGGGATTATTGTTTAATGAGCATAGAGCTTCGGTTTTGAAAGATTAAGAGTTCTGGAGATGGATGGTGGTGATGATTGTACAACAATATGTATTTAGATAATACCACCAAATTGTACACTTAAATATGATTAAGATAGTAAATTTGATGTTATATGTATTTTACCACGATACAATTTTTTTTTAATTGACCTGGTTTTTTTCTGATTTCTTCTATGGACAAATAGAATTGTTCTTCTACGGAAAAATATAGACTTGGTTTTTCTTTTGATCTTTACTAATTTCTTTAATTTTTAAAGACAATTCTATTTCTACTACTTTTTCAACATTTACTTTTAGAAAGTTATATTTCTATGAAATTACATATGTCATCTGTTTTTTGTATTTAATGCATTATGTTCATGTTTTTTCTTATCACTTAAAATATCTGAAGTAGTTATAGTATAACTGTTTGTATTCCTAGTCTTCTTTAATGTTCCTTTCCTCCTCGCTCAATGTTTTCTAAGAACTACTTTTGGTGGTATTGAACCTCTATTTATGCCTGTTTTCCATTTCATCAATTTTGTTGTGAAATTTTCTATGTCCTTTCTATATTCTGTGGGATTTTCTGTTGATTTTTTAAACATAAATTGAACAATTTGAATTTTAATTGTAATCATCCTTCATTATAAGAACTTAAGCATGTACATTTCCCACAGTACCAGTTTTACTGCCTTTCAAAAAATGTGATATGAAGAATTTTTATGATTAAATGCTATGTATTTTATAATACACATTATAATTTTTTCTTTGACCCAGGAGTTCTTCACGTATTTTTAAATTTCCAATTGTAGACTTTTCATTTATTTTTTTTCATTTTGACTAAAAATCAAATTGCTGTGACCAAGGAAAATGTTATATAATATTTATTTATTTTCTATTTATCAGACTTGTCTCATAGCTTTGTATTCATCCATATTTTTACTTTTAATTTTTCATATGAGCTTGAGAAAATCTATTTTCTTGTTCGCTGCAAGCTACTGTAGATATGTAATCAACGTGTCTAATTATGTTGTACATCTTTTTGATCCTAGTATTTTAACCTTTATATGTCTATAGGTTTTAGGTACTTCTAAAAAATATACCCTTAAATTAACTGCTTTTAATCCAATTAATATTGTTTTAACTGGTATGTTTTCATATGTGTGAATTTATTATAACTACTAATGTTTATATTTTAATTTGTTTTTACCATCTTATTATTTGTATTGCTTTTATTTTTTCTCTTTATATTCGTGTTCCTTTAAACTTTACATTTAAAAATAGATGATACTAGTAGTAAGAGGTTTTTTTATATCTATATATATAGACAGTGTTTATATTTCACTTACAAGTTTGACAACTTCATTGCTCATGTTTTCTTTTTGCATATTGGATTTCCAGGAACATTTTCATATTCTTATTTCCAATTTGCTTTAGAAGTTAGTGAAGATCTGTTATAAACACTCTCTTGGTATCTGTCTTTCTCTTTAAATTTCTTTCTCCTTGAAAATGTTTTTATTTTGCACTCAATATTCAAGGATGGTTTACTGGTTATCCAATTCTATGTTGACTATTACAATAATATTATTCAGCCTATTAAAAGAGGGAAATCCTGACATATGACACTGACATTACATGGACAAACCTGAAGGACACGATGCTGACTGAAATAAACCAGACACAGAAAGACATCTAATGCATGATATCACTTTACATGTGGAATCTTAAAGAATCAAACTCATAGAGAGTTAAATAATGGTTACCAGGGACAGGGTGGGGGGTGGGGTTATGGAAAATAGATGTTACCGAAAGGGTACAAAGTTTCAGTTATGCAGAGTGAATAAATTCTGCAGATCTAATGTATAGCGTGGTGACTGTAGTTAACAATGTAATGTATACTTGAAATTTGCTATGAGTAGATCTTAAGTGTTCTGACCACACACACACTCACACACTCTCACACATTCTCTCTTTCTCTCTTGCTGTCTCTCAAACGGTATCTGTGAAATGATGGATATGAAATTAGCTTGATTGTGGTAATCATTTCACAATATTTATGTATGACAAATGAAGTTGGAGAGAAGTTTGCTTCTCTAATATCAGAGCTATAATTATCATTGGTATCTATGTATGTGTTTTTCTATTAAACAGATTATCCCAATTTATTTTATTTTATAAAATAAATGTGACAGGGTCTTGTTCTGTCACTGAGGCTGCAGGTCAGCAGCATGATCATAGCTCACTGCAGCCTCAAACTCCTGGGCTCAAACGATCCTCCCAGCTGAGCCTCCCAAGTAGCTGGGATGACAAGCATGTACCACTATGCATGGCTCATTTTTAACTTGTTTGTACCGATGGGGTCTCACTATGTTGCCCAGACTATATCGCCGTTCATGACCACTTGAATTCCTGACTTCAAGTGGTCATCCTACCTTGACCTCTCAAAGCATGGGGATTACAGACATGAGCTACTACACCTGGCCATATTCTCTCAGTTTTGAAATAACTAACTGCCTCCCATTCTCTACCACTTTTAATCCCCTGATACCTGTTTTACCTCCAGTATTGCTTCTCTAGAACTACACGGCCTCATATGGTAATCACTAGCCACATGTGACTGTCCAACACTTTAAAGGTAGCATAGCTCAAATTTAGATTTAATGCTAGTGTAAAAAACACATTGGACTTTTTAAAACTTTGTACAAAAATTTTTTAAAAATGTCGATTTTCTATATTACATGTTGAAATGATATTTTGGATAAATTGAATTAAATAATATAAATACAACTATTTTACCTATTTTTGTTCATGTGATTAGCAAACTTAATTACAAATGTGGTGTGCATTATTTTTCTGTTGAACAGTGCTGTTCTACCAGATTATCAGTAAACACCCTCCAAAATTTATTTGTGTTGTTGTTTTTAAAATTTCTTTTATTTCAATTGGGAACAAAATTTGTGATAATGTTCTTAACTCGCTCCAAGAAAATTTACTACCTAAGTAAACTTGTGCCCTACAGCTTTAACAACATTTTATGCCCCTTCAACTCAGCTCACATTTGAATTTAATTGGTATTTTTTATCCCCATGAACGAAATCACTGTCAAGCCTAACTTAAAATGAGGCTTTTACAAAAGTTTTCTAAGCTCCAAAAACAGTTTTTCAAAGTTTGTTTCCATCAGTGGCAACATCCTCTCAACATACCAGAGAAGAAAATGTGGAGAGGGACTAGGTGACATTTAAGAGAATTAAAGATGGAACAGGGGAAAAAGCTAGAGTATATGCTTGCCTGAAAAAACGCAGGACACTCAAAGTACATTTCAGATGTACTGGTTTCTTCCCCTCAAGGCAATGGGTTCCCTTATGGTACAGAGTGTGTCTTGAAATGTCATCTGAGAGCTATGGTGTAGAATGGGCATCTCAGGACTTTACCCAGTTTCCTATCCTACTGTGGCTGAGCTGTTATCCAAGTTGCAAGACAAAGTCCTCTTTACTCCGCCCTCTCCTCTTCTCGTGCAGAGAAGAATCTTTCCTGGAGCCGTGAGCTGTGGTGCCTGTGATTTTTGAGAGGTGGTGCTATCACTTTCTTGGTTGAGCCAGCTGGTGTCTCACTAGTTCATTGGTTCCAAGCCCAGTACAGCATGAGGACTTGCCCAGGAATTGCAATCCTTGTGGTCTAGATTGCTTTTCAATTTTATTTAGAATCCCAGAGCACTGTAGCCCATGGTGGTGAGGCTTGCTGAAACGGAAGTTCCAGCTGCAGGGATGGACAATTTCCCTCTGGCTAGGGCTGGACTATATGTTCCCTCCATGGCTGCCGGCTGAGTTCTCTTTGTGTTGCTTTCCCCTATGATAGAGTGGCAAGAGTTATTATGACTGCTCACCTGATTTTTGGTTCTTAAGAAGGTGTTTTGTTCAATTTGGTGTTCCTACAGTGAGAATGACTGGTGAAGTCTTGTATTTAGCCATCTTGCTCTGTCTCCACTCCCAATAACACAATTTAATTGTATGTAAGCTCCTCCTAGTATGCTCACCCTCTCTCTACCCTATTTAATTTTTAAATAACATTTATCACTAATTAGTTGTCTGTTTGATTATTGTTTATAATCTGTCTCTTCTCAGACACATTGTACTATTAATGAGGGCAGGGAGCTTTGTTTCATTGGGTTTCATTCACTCCCTAACCCCCAACCAATGTATCAAACACCTTAAACCATGCCTGGCACATAGTTGGTAAGCATATAAGTAATAAGTGGATGTCGCTTTCTCTTCACATATTTATGTTTTATAGGGTGCTTTCTGTTTTAAACCTCTTTCTATTTATTGTTTTAATCAGCGTTGTCTTTTTAGATAGATGCCTATTTTGTGCACGTTAGATTTCTGCATCTATGTTCTGCAAAGTATTCTATCACATGCGTCTTTCATACTTTACTTTCCCATGCTCCAATCACAGACATATAATTTCATTCCCTCCTCTATGTGTCACATAGTTTTTTGTTTTGTTTTGTTTTGTTTAGACAGAGTCTTGCTCTGTCATCCAGGCTGAAGAGCGATGGTGTGATCTTGGCTCACTGCAACCTCCGCCTCCCAAGTTCAAGCAATTCTCCTGCCTCAGCCCCCTGAGCAGCTTGCATTGCAGGCACCCACCACCATGCCTGGCTAAATTTTTGTGTTTTTAGTAGAAACAGGGTATCGCCATGTTGGGCAGAATGGTCTCGAACTCCTGACCTCAGGTGATCCACCTGCTTCTGCCTCCCAGAGTGCTGAGAATACAGGCGTGAGCCACTGCACCTGGCCAGTTTTGTTTTTTTATACTTCCTCTTTTAATATGTTATTTTATCATGGTCTTTAAGCTATTCTGCTCTCCTTTTTAAAAAGTTTTTAAATTAATTGATTTGTTTATTTTTATTCTTTTTAAGAAAGGTGCTAAATCGGGGGGACCTATTTCTTCACAGAGCTTCCACCCCTCAGCCAAGTTTCTGTTCTAGACACTTTGCTATTGTCATTATCCTCACATAAACCCTGGAATTCCATTGCTAAACATTTTGACATGCCATACTGAATTAAGAAAACAACAATTAAATTAATTACAGATAGCTCTTAGGCACCCACATGTGATCTTCCGTAATATGTAGCCTTGTTTTGAGACAGAGAATAGATGGCAGATGAGTTACTCTAACATATCTGTATCAGAAGAATGCTTGCTTATTAGATATATTCTATTAATTGACTAGAGAAGTTATTGTCATTTAAATGTATCCTGTGTTTAGATGATTGCCAACACTGAAATGAGGATATGCAGTTTAAAATTTTTCTGTTTCTTCTAATATACTGCTAATACGTTTTTAACATGAGACTTCTATAAGGCCACTTATAACTCTATTCTCATTTAGTAAGCCGCTATGCTGCATGTACTATTTTTAAAAATAGTTATATAATACTTATTAATTTATCACTCAGTTTTAAACTTAGTCATATTATCATATCATTAAACATTTTAAAATAACTATATCATGGTCAAAGAGCAATAACTAGGATCTATTACTTTTTTATACTCACTGTAGCTCCCAGCATGGTTCTAAACGCTTAGTAGTCAATTAAAATGGTTATTAAATTCTCATGCATGGTTATTAACTAAAATAAAAAATATTAATAACAGATTTTAGTTTGAATTACAACTCTTTGGTTAAAAGACATGTGACCCTGGATAAGTTGCCTAATTTACTTCAGTTTTTTTTTTTGGGGGGGGAGGGTAAAATTATTTTTCTAAATAAGAGTGAATAACTTATTGGTTTGCTATAAGGTGTAAATGTTAGTATGCACATAAGTCTTAGCATAAGCCTTAGTATTTAATAAGCCCTCATTACATTTTACGTACTGTTACTAATGCTAATATATTTTTGCTTCTGTTTCTAACTCATAGGCTTATAGAAGACAGGGCTAAATTCCTTCATTTTTATTTTTCCTTCTCAAGAACAATTTATTTTCTGTTGGCAAAAAATGTAGTGAATCACTAGGATTGCCAATCCGAGAATCACATATTATCAAACATTACTGAACATTACATTGTATTTACTTTCATTTGTAAGATTATACATGTTCATATTGGGTAAACAACAAGGAACATGACTCTCCTTACTTTATGCAACTTAACAATATTTGAATCTGCAATTCTGACTGATACTCTAGGAATGAGATAAATGACGATACAGCTTTATGGGATTTAAACGTAAAAGAAACAATGAAGTATTAAGAAAGTCTGAGGTTGTCTGCAAGCATGCTTAGGTAGAGAAATTTATAGAATGGATAAGTAAGTAAATAAATAAATTATTTAAAGAGCAGTGTGTGAACTCTTGTAGTCAGTATTTCTAAAATCTCCATTCACCAACTTTGCTGTATGTGATACAAATAATTGAAACTTTTGGCAACATTTATCAAAGAATATGCATAGTGAAAACATTTTCTTCAATGTTGAATGTAAGGACTATATGCATTACTAGTCGTATTTAGAGACTTATTTCTGCAATGAATAATTTTAATACATTGCCATATTCTAGTTTTCTGCTGAAATGAAACAAAATTCCCTAGTGTACTTGTTCTCATTCATTCCCATAGGATGGCAAATATATGTGTGCTCACATTTATAAGGTAAATTATGTGCTTATAGATATAATAGCCCTTGCTTTTATGCAGTTTTTATTCCCTAAGGAGTTCAACACATTTGGTATTAGCTTTGCAACAATGAAAAACGAGTACTTATTCTTAACTGACCATACTATGCAGGAATATTTCCTTATTTTTGACCTCCCCCCACCAACCCTCAAAACTTTATATAGAATTATAAAAGCTAAGATGAGAGGCAGAAAAATGAAAGTACTTAACACAAAGTTAATTTATTTGGTCAAAATCTTTAAGATTTAAAATCACCAAATAAATATCAAAACCTTGGTTGAATTCTAGTCTTGTAGGTCACTGCTATCTCTAATAAAATCAAACATCAATGAGATTTTAGATATGTTTAGATAAATTAAATTTTCAGAGGGTCAGTATTTTGTATTTCAAGAAATGGATATGAGATTTTTAAAACCTCTACTTCATGATTTAATGTTTTTGGCTGTCAGTTTGTATGCACTATCCTCATGGGGGTGAACATTTCAAGTTGGCATTCTGGCAGAAATGAATTTTATTTGTAAATCCACCTGCACACCTCTACCTTGTAAGCAAGGGCATGGCATTGCAAGGCCTCCACAAAACTAACTGCTCCATATGGTCATTGAACACATGGCATTTGTAACCATCGAAGTATTAGCCTGAAATTCTGAGATAATCTAAATGAATATTTTTCCACCGTTGATGAGTGAACAAGGATTACAAAGATGAAATGATTTGCAAAAAGGTACTAAGCCTAGTGATTAGGAGTATCCACCAGAGTTAAACCACTGTTTTAATCCTGAGCTCTAGCACTTGCCCTCTGTGTAAGCTTGGGCAAGTTGACCAACATTTTTAAGCCTCAGATTACTAATATAAAATATGAAGCTAATAATACTATTAATAATTTCATTTAACCAAACATTACGATAGGATTTAAGAGAGACAATGCAAAATTATCTTATTAGAAAGTTGAAGGCTTAGACGTTGTCATTAATCTATATTTCCCATTTGGAACCACTCTGTTTTATGTGCCACTTACAGTTCCATTTCCCTCCTCTGCTTAACCAGTAGTCCATTGAATCTGTGCTGTGGTGAAAAGTGAGAACTGCTATAGCATCGTGAAAGCACTCAGACTTGAAACCATATTGCTGCAGAGTGAATTTCTGTTTAGCTGTGTGGTTTCAGATAACCTTTGAACCTCTTTGTGACTCAGTTTCCTGATCTGTAACATGAATGTAATCATAAAGCCTGCATCATATATTTAAATGAATTAATACACATAAAACTCTACCAGCTGGTCATGGTGGCTCACTCCTGTAATCCCAACGCTTTGGGAGGCTGAGGCAGGCAGATCACGAGGTCAGAAGATCGAGACCATCCTGGCTAACGCGGTGAAACCCCACCACTACTAAAAATATAAAAAATTAGCTGGGCGTGGTGGCAAGAGCCTATAGTCCCAGCTACTCTGGAGGCTGTGGCAGGAGAATCGCTTGAACCCGGGAGGCAGAGGTTGCAGTGAGCTGAGATCGTGCCACTGCACTCCAGCCTGGGCTACAGAGCAAGACTCTGTCTCAAAAAGAAAACAAAAAACACTCTACCAATGGTGGCATGCGCACAGCAAGTGGGGTGTTAGTAGTTAGTTGTTGACATACTCAAAACAAAAAAACAAAAAAACAAAAAAACAAGGGCCGGGCGCAGTGGCTCAAGCCTGTAATCCCAGCACTTTGGGAGGCCGAGGCGGGCATATCACGAGGAGGTCAGGAGATCGAGACCATCCTGGCTAACACGGTGAAACCACGTCTCTATCAAAAATATTAAAAAATTAGCCCGGTGTGGTGGCGGGCGCCTGCAGTCCCAGCTACTCAGGAGGCTGAGGCAGGAGAATGGCATGAAGCCGAAAGTCGGAGGTTGCAGTGAGCCGAGATCGGGCCACTGCACTCCAGCCTGGAGGAGAGAGCAAGACTCCATCTCAAAAAAAAAAAAAAAAAAAAAAAAAAGAATTGTTTTATGTAGTGCTCTATCATCTCCATTGGCCAATTCTACCACATGGGATATCAATAACTGGAACACTTATGTGGAAAAAAAAGTCCCAAAAGTACATTTTTAAATTAGGCCTCTGTTTTTGTTTTGACAAATATCCATCTATTTTAATTTTGAAGTAACACATGAAAATGATGATTCCATTACTTTTTCTCTAACTTAGTGAAATAATTTTATATAGATTTTGCTAAAATTTCCTTACTACTATTCAAAGTAGTACTCATAATGTTCCCTGTCATTCCATCAAGAATAAACAGTGACACAATTAAATATGTAATTACTCATATAAAAGCATAAGTGAACATTGCCAAACACCCAGATTCTCAAAGTGAAGTTCATGAGAGGAATAAATGTATCCACTTTCATCTATTTTAAGTCAAATCTGGCTTTATTATTGCTGAAGTAAATAATACATTCCCGCATGTTTGTATCCAAATTCTGTATATTAATCTCATACAAATAGAATTTCTTTAAAATAGATATTCTGTCCACATATTTTCTTACCAAGTGTTTGAATTTACTTCTGCATGGCAAGGAAGCAAACAAGATTTTTATATTGTGTCATGGTAAATGAATAAATAGTCTTTCCATTCATTAGGGTGGACATAATAGAATAATTATGTATTCGTGGTGGTCAGTTTTCTATAAATATTGGAATCTAGTAATTGCTATAAAACTGCCTGTTATTTACTCATTTGGAAGTCTTAAAGGAACATGAATATGCATGAACTACTTCTATAAGTCGAAAACCATATTTTTCTTTTGTTTGTTGTTCTCTTTGCGTTGCTATAGAGATCTTCTGTACTTTTTTTCCCCCAATATCCATTACCTTTGCCATCTCAAGCTAGGAAGTATTTGTTGTTGTTGTTGTTGTTTATATTTTATTTTATTTATTTATTTTTTGAGACAGAGTCTCGCTCTGTCACCAGGCTGGAGTACAGTGGCGTGATCTCGGCTCACTGCAACCTCTGACTCCCTGGTTCAAGCGATTCTCCTGCCTCAGCCTCCTGAGTAGCTGGGATAACAGGCGATCGCCACCACGCTTGGCTAATTTTTGTATTTTTAGTAGAGACGGGGTTTCACCATGTTGGCCAGGATGGTCTCGATCTCTTGACCTCGTGATCTGCCCACCTTGGCCTCCCAAAGTGCTGGGATTACAGGTGTGAGCCACTGCGGCCGTCTGGAAGTGTTTTAAGTATAATTGTAGCGCAGATACAGTTCATTTATGGCCGTTCTTCTCCCAGGTAGCATGGCTCTAGACCTTTCTTTTCTATCCTCTCATCTTCCTAGTCTTGATGATGTGGAAGAAATGTTTGGGGAAACAAGCCAAAATTTTCTGTTCTTTATTTCCTGCTGTTATAATTTCATCTCTTTTTTCCAATGTTATTACTAGCCAATCTGAAAATTAAATTTTATATATATACACACACACACACACACACACACACACACACACACCGAAGTATTAAAGTAATAAACTTCTCCTGCCCATGTTTTTTCAGGGCCCAGGTCACATTTTGCAGCATAGATTTCTAGGGATAAACCATGGTTGTCTTCTCTTGCCAATTGGTCTTCCAACTCATTTTGGGAAAGAGAATCTAATAATAAAAATGCGGAATTCTGGCCGAGTGTGGTGGTTCACCGGGGAGGCCAGGGCAGGCAGATCACGAGGTCAGGAGATCGAGACCGTCCTGGCTAACACAGTGAAACCCTGTCTCTACTAAAAATGCAGAAAATTAGCCTGGCGTGGTGGCACGCGCCTGTAGTCCCAGCTACTCAGTAGGCTGAGGCAGGAGAATCGCTTGAACCAGGGAGTCAGAGGTTGCAGTGAGCTGAGATCGCATCACTGCACTCCAGCCTGGGTTGCAGAGCGAAACTCTGTCTCATTAAAAAAAAAAAAAAAAAAAAAAAAGTAGAACTCAGTAATGAGAATATCTGTAAAACAGGAGCCATCTGTTAGTCCTCAAATTTACCCAGGTTGCTGTCTTCTCACTCTATTTGCTTAAAAGACTGGCTTTGATTTTACAGGAGTCGAATCTTCGTTTTAGAAATCTATGAGAGGAACCATCTTTTCTGAACATCTCTAGTTAGCATTACAGTACATTTACAAATCATTTAGAGAAATAAATTGCTGTGGAACTCAGAAGTGCATAAGAGTAATACTATAATTATAGAAAGCTGAAGATGTAATATAGTTTACTCAATAATTTCCTGAAAAATAAGGATGGAAATTCGCACAGTTAAAAAAACTGTGGTACTTGGCTCATTCAGCTAATCTTATTTGTGATGTATTAACATCGAGTCAATCCTCTCAGTTCAAGATTTACATGAGATTTCTTCTTCTATTTGAATGCAGGACTCAGAATCACCTCCTTCATAAGTGTTTCCTACAAATTATCTGGTAATTGACTAATACAAACCACCAATAAAAAGTCCATATAGTTCTTCTACAATTATGATTTCTAGAAATTTGGGAATAGAAGGGGAGAACATGCAATTATAATTTGCTGAGACATGAGCTTTTAATGGAGAGATGTGACTAGAGTGGCTCCTTATACAGTAAACCACTTGCTGGTTATCAAATAATCATTTTAAAATCTGAGAAAAGGGTGATCAACATGAATGCAACAATGCCTGCTCTTTTATAATCGGCATTCTTGAATGTTGGCTGACTGTGGAGCAGGTGAAAAAAATTGAGAATATATTCCCTATGAAAACTAAAATTATAGACCCTGTGCTCACATTTCTGATGGCTCTAGAAAGTAATTCCATGCTTGGAATGGGACCTTTGGTGGAAAACAGAACTAATTATTATTTAATACTTTGAGGATTGAAATACTAACAATGATAATAGTTAGGAATCCTGATCATTCTCTTCTAGAAGTATCTGGTATTTATTAGCATGTTATCATTTATATGTAATTTTCTTTACGGCTGATATCTTCCTGTATAGTCCTAATTAATGCAAATAGCATTCACAAAACAAATAACTAAAATGTCTTTAAGTTTATATGATTACTAACAAAATATTCTCACAAACTCACCCACTTATAATTTTTAAAAAATATATGCAAACAAACAATCTACAATTAAGCATATTTTCTTTCCAACATATATATTAAAAACATGGAATATTTTATGTAATATGCAGAAGAAAATGCATTATGTAAAATGCAGGAGAAAAATGTACTCTTTCATAGCACACTGCAGCCTCAATTTCTTGGCCTCAAGTGATCTTCCTGCTTCAGCCTCCCGAGTAGCTGGAACTATAGGCATACACTACCATGCCTGGCTAATTTTTAAAATTTTGTAAAGGTGAGGTCTCACGATGTTGCCCTGGCTGGTTTCTAACTCCTGAGCTCAAGTGATTGTCCCACCTTGGTCTCCCAAATTCCTGGGATTAGAGGCATGAGCCACCATCCCTAGCCTTGAGCTTTTTCTAAGACAGTATTTATACCATAATTTTAAGGTTATTTGTAAAGAACAAAAATTGATCATTTTACTCATAAACATATGGAACAAAGTAACATTGTTCAAAGATAGAGGATGAACTCATTAAGAATTAAAAATGTGTAGCATATTTGGGGCTTGCAAAACTCTCAGTATGGTCAGCATCTATTAATATGGATGAAAATTAATGGGAAATTCTGGATTGTGATCCAATTTTTTAATACTTACAAGCTCTGACCAAGAATAAATGCCTTAAGTATGAGTTTCTTGTCTGTAAAAGTATTCAATAAATACTTAAAAATTCACTTTCTTTTTTTGACCCAATCAGTAACTAGAACTGGAAAGAATAATTCTGTCAAACCAGTAGATATATATTAAAGAAAAATCAATGACCACAGATTTACTTTATATAATAAATGAACTATAATATCAAATTGCCATTTGTTCATAAATACTTATGTAGTATCTACCATTGACAGGCATTATATTTTGTGCTTCTAAATGCAGCACTAAATGATGATGCAGAGAGAAAAACCAGATTTTGTAGAGCTTGAAAACTGTACAATACATGCCTGTAGTCCCAGCCGCTCAGGAAGCCGAGGTGGGAGAATCATTTGAGCACGGGAGGTCAAGTGAGCCCTGGTCATATGACTGCACTCCAGCCCAGGTGACAGAGAAAGACCCTGTCTCAAAAAAAAAAAAAAAAAAAAAAAAAAGAAAGAAAATTGTACAATATGGGAAATCCTCTTTAAGAAAATGAATACAAAATCAAGGCTAAAAAAAGTAACATTATTTAGAAGGAGAAAAGAAATTATAAATTATACAGTTATAAGTCTGACCATTACCACCACCATTACATTAAAAAATCAAAAATTAACATTTTATATTTTGTACCTGTAATATTCTTCCTAGATACATGTTTTTACTAAAACTGCTTGAGTGCCTCTTTGTATAACACAAATTTTATAATTGTTTTTCTATAGGAGTGTAAGTAATTTTTTTCATCTAATGGAGATAATTGATTCTTTTTTCTTACTGAGTTAAAAAGTTTATTTTAGCAACACAAGTTGTTATTGGCAATACCAATTTAAAGTGTTACCAAACACTCTAAGTATTTAGAGATGAGGAAAGCCTTTCTTTGGAAGAATTTTCCATAGGTTACCCTCTGCTTTTTAATTTTTTTTTTTTTTACTTTCATACCTTGTTCCTTTGCCACCACCCACATCATACTTCAGATGCCAGGGAGTGTAGGATGTATTTATTTCAGCATACAACATCTAGCCATGCACTTTCAAGTCACAATGACACAGCACTCTGCAGGGGTATTAAGGGAAGCCATTTTTCACAGGGAGAGTTAGGAATAACTTAACTGTAATGGAGTGACAGCAAACCATACAAGTAAATTCCATTAAGCCAAACCTAAATGTATCCTCAATACAACTTCTGCTCAGTTGCACTCCCAGCATGCTCTTGGCCACTCCAATACTATACCATTTAACTATAAGAATGAGAGAGAGGAAGTTAGAGTGAAAACAGACAGTCATCTTAGCTGATTTTGGTTAAAATTTCTTACTTGTTCAAATTTTACAAAAACCTAGGACTGTGTGAAACCACTACTACAGTTCTTCCCAAGAGTTGCTGAGACACATGCAAGTAAGAGCCTTGCAGCTGGAGTTTCATTAGTTTCATGGTAAGTTCACCTTTGCTCACAGGGTCTTACTTTCTTGGAGTTTTCAGCCCAGCATAATATATATTAAATCATTTTATAAACCATTAATTATAATTACTATAAGTACTATGAAGAAGTATAGAAAGACATGGGATCATACAATAAGAAGACCAGTTATGGGCCTGTAGGTCAGAGACAATTTTTCTAAGTGGTACTTGAAGCTGAAACCTGAATGAGAATCTCATCTTGTTGACCAAGTGATGGTGGTGAGAGAGGTGGAGAGCATTCCAGCAATAAGGAAGAAAATGTGTAAAGACTTTGAAGCAGGAAAATCATATGATGAGTTGAGGAACTGAAATGAAGTTTAGTATGGTGGGAACTCAGAAAGTGAGGATTAAAGGGTCATCTGAAATGAGGTTTTAGAAAAAAAGGAGTGGGAGGACGTCTTGCTGCATCTGAGAAGGCCACATTAAAGACTTTGGGCCTTATTCTAAAAGAAATGGGAAGCCATTAAGAATTGACATTATAAGATTTGCATCAAAACCACTCTGAACACAGAATGAAAAATGGATTTGGGCATACAGGTGCAAACTTGATGGAGATTTTCCATTAGGAAACTGTTACCCTCAATTATGAGGGTGGACAGTACAAATTGTTGAATGAAGTAATCTTGTTTTTGTTAATTCATTTTCAGCAGCTATGCTGAAATTAGACACTACATCTTTTATTTTTCCTTTTATAAGGTTGATAGGCATTGATTTCTAATTGATATAAATCTACTGAAAGTTATAGAAATATTAAAAGTTTATCAACTTTTAAAATATTAGAATACTATTACAAAATTTTGGCTCAAAATTGGGAGTCAAGCTAGCTATTGTCCAATTTCATGAAAAGATCTAGGATTTAAGATCTAGGTAACAAATCAAGCACTGTTGAGTCTTCCATGTTTGTCCTGGGAGAACAAAGTATAAACATTGGCGGTTTACTATTGTGGAGCAGAATGAGTTAGGTCTTCTGAATGGGATGCCAAAATTTATGTAACATGCGATTGCTAAATATTTGGCACCTATACTTTTGGAAGGGTGTTGTGTCTAGAACTGTGAGAAAAGTGTAAATGTTAGTTGCTGTAATTAATTAGGTTTCTTCATGGTAAATTCATCTATTTTTCATTTCTCTTGTTTTACCTGCTTATCGTAGTGATTTTTAATGATAATTTACTTTCTCACATGTGGTCTTAAAAGAGAGGTAATTCCTTTTAACTGAGGCTTCAAAGAAGACATTTCCAGAACTAAATCACACTACATTTGAAAAAAATCTTTGGGGCTCATAAATGTCATTTTTCACTTGTTTCTATTTATATTATCTCTCTGCACAAAACTCTAAAATGCAAGCTTGTAAGTGCCATTAAAGGGCACACATTTTCTTGGAATTCTTACAGGTTCCAATCTAGTAACAGTGCCAAAAATAAGAGAAATGTCCAAGAGTCCTTGTTCATTATGCGACCCCACTGATGTTGACAAAAAGTTCTTTTCAAGAAGGTCCTAATAAGCATTCAACCTTGTGGATAATTAATGTCCAGGGAAGGACTAGTGCTGGACTACCTGGCAATGTGCAGGATTTAATTTTTGTTCACCTCATGGAGACTTCCACTGTCCCTATATCCTTGTCTCAACATTATATTTTATTTTATTCTGACAAGTGCTATGTCAGAAAATACCATGAAATTCAATAACTAGTTTGACTTCTGGATTGCAAAGGTTATGGTTGATACAAAGGTATCAGAAATATCACAGATCAGATCCCTTTGTAAGATTCTGTATGAGACTTATGTCTGTTGTTTCTGCTACAGTATATATGATGATGATAATATAAATGAATACTAATATGTGATTATAATATAATAGTATCTGATAATCACTTTACGTATATTATCTCATTAAAACCTCTGAGACTGATATAAACAACTTGTCTACATTTTAAGGTAGAAACTAGTCTTGTAAAGCAATGTAAGACTTACCATTAGGTCACTTTAAAAAGTGCTAAGGGAAGTTACATTACATAACAAGCAACACCATTGCAAAGAATGTCCTCTTCCATCTACCTCTTTGCAGGTCCATTTATCCCAGAAGTTAATATGCAAAAATATTCTTACTCTCATTCATCCTATATCCATTTTAATGAAGTTCTAGAATATTTAGATTGCATTTGATTTTCTTTTTTATGTTATCTTTTAAAAAAAACTATCTCTTTTTAACCTTATTATCAAATCTCAAAAGCCAATCAGTACACATTGATTTGTATCCACTTATTGGCTGTTATGAAAACTATTATGAATAATGCTACTATGAAGATTCACATGCAAGCTTTTGAGTAGACACATGTTTCTACTTTCCTGTGCATATAACTAGGAGTGGATCTGTTGGGTCATATAGAAATTCTCTATTTAACTTTTTGAGGAACTGCCCAACTCTTTTTCAAAGCAGCTATACCATTTTACATTGCCACTAGCAATGTATGAGGGTCCAGTTTGTTCATATCCTTGCCAACACTTGTTATTGTTTGTCTTTTTGATTATGCCCATTGACTGATAAAGAAACAAAATATGGTATATCTGTACAGTGGAAAATATCCAGTCATTAAAAAAATGAAATGCTGAAACATGCTATATCATGGATGATCCTTGAAACATGTGCAAAGTGAAAGAAGCCTGACCCAAAATGTCACCTACTATTCTGTTTATATAAAATTTCCAGAATAGGCACATCCAGTAGGGACTGAAAGATTAGTGATTGCCAGAGGCTGAGGGATGGGGGACTGGGGAGTGACTACCAATGGGCGTCAGACTTTTTATGAGATGATGAAAGTGTTCTGGAAGTAGATAATGATAATGATTCCACAATTTTGTAAAATACTAAAACCAGTGACTTGTATAGTTTAAAGGTAAATTTTATGTTATATGAAATATGTCCCAATTTAGAAAAGCCAATTAGGTTTCTAAGTCTACAGTGATGATGATGGTAATAATCATAACAGCAACAACTGTCATAGAGATTGGGGAAAGAAGGGAAAAGAGAGAGAAAATGGAAATTCAATGAATATTTATGCTTTAGTATGTTTCCCTGACACATCTGAGCTTCCTCTTCTGGATTATGGCTCTACCACCCACTAAGTTACTCAAATTAGAAATCTCAAAATGATGATGGATTCTTCTTTCATTCCACATTAGACAGTTGTTTTTTTTTTGCACAAAATGTGTCTCTGATCTCAGATTTTTATTTTCCCTAATGCTGTTCTCATTTCAACCCCCACTGTCATTACCATTTGAAGAAGCTAATCTTTCATTAATCACTGCAACATTTTTCTAATGATGCCTCTCCTCCCAGTTCCAGGCTCTCCTTTATTTGAATCTATTCCACAAGCTACCTTTATTGTTACCATCCCACAGTCCAAGTCTGACCATGCCGTTCTTCCCATGATGGCGTAAAGGGAACTGACATGATACGACGAGCCCCTCACAAAGTCACTACAATTTACATATCCAGGCTCATTTTTGAACTACTTGATCCTGCTCTCCCTACCCTCACATACATACATAATACAGTACCCTGAACATTATATTCTCTTTTATACTGCTTTACTTTGGTCATGTTCTTCCTTTTGACTATTATTCCCTTCTTGTTTGTATAAATCGGTACCCCTACAGATGCAAAAAAGAAAACACCTCTCAGAATAGTTTAAGAAAAAAATGCAATTATTGGGAAAGCCAACTTTAGAGATGGTTTTAGGTATAATTTGATGCAGAAACCTGTAAGACAGTTCTCCTCATCTCTTGTTTCTGCTTTCAACTGAAGATGTAAATGAAGATAGATAGATTGATAGATGATTGCCTGATTGATGCATCTTTACAATTCTAAAATATCAAGAACTTGAGGAAAATTGAGAAGGGAGAGATAAAGTTAGACAAAGTTTAAGTCACGTACTACTCAATGAACAAATCGCTTTGCAATAGACGTGGGTATTCTGCAAGGTCAGCTGAGTACTATGTCCACCCATTCAGCATGGTATAGGGTATCATGAATAATAGAATGGCAAGCTCACCATGACCAAATGGAAAAAGAGAGACGGTTTTCTAACAGAAAACAACCATAAGTCTGTACTTTTCCGTTTTAGCTTTTACAGTTAGGCTTATGACCCAATGTGAACTAGTTTTTGTGAAGAGTACATGGTAGAAGTTGAGGAATTTTTTTCCCCACATAAATATCCAGTGTTTCAGTACCTTTTGGTAAAAGCACTTTCCACTTTGGATTGGGTTGCTCTGTACTCCTTTAGAAAAATTAAATGAGAATGTACACATGTGGTGGCTCTATATACTGCTAGACTGACGTTAATTGTTGGGATTACTGAAACTTTTTTTTTTTTGTTATTCGCAATTTATTTATTTATTGTTTACAATAGCAAAACTAAGGGATGTAAAGTGGTAACTTGTTTTTTTTTTATTATTATTATATTTTAAGTTTTAGGGTAATAAGTTTTGCCATCAGGCACTGCAAGTCCTACTTTGTTCTTGTTTTTTATTCCATTTATTTTCATTGTGGTAAAATACAAAGAAGGATTTACTATCTTAACCACTTTTAAATGTATAGTCCAATGTAAGTATATTTATATTGTTGTTCAGTGATCACCACCATGCATCTCCGGAACAGTTCATCTTGCAAAACTAAAACTCTAGGCCCATGAAACAATAACTTCTCATTTCTTCCTTCTCTGAGTGTCTGGCACCCATCATTCTACTTTCTGTATCTATTTTAGTATCTTCTGTATCTTTTGTATCTTCTGTATCTGTATTTTTGACTAATCTAAGGACCCCATATAAGTGAGATCATACAATATTTATACTTCATGGCGGGCTTAATTGACTTATAATGTCCTCAAGGTTCATCCGTGTTATAGCCCATGTCAAAATTCCCTTCCTTTTTGAGAATGAATAATATTTCACTGTATGCATATAGTATATTTTGCTTATCTGTTCGTTCTTCTACAGAAACTAAAGTTGCTTTAATGTTGCTGTGTACATGGGAATACAAATATATCTTTGAGATTTTGCTCTCAGTTCTTTTCAATATATACTTAGAAATGGAAATGCTATATCATATAAGACTTTTCTCATTTTGTTTAGAAACTAACATATTATTTTCCAAAGCAGCTGCACTATTTTACATTCCCACCTACAGTGCACAGTTTCCAATTTTCTCACATCCTCATCAACACTTGTTATTTTGTTTTCTTGATAGTGGCCATTCTAATGGGTAAAAAGTGGTATCTCATTGTTTTGATTTGCATTTCCCTAATGATAACAATGTTGAGCATATTTGCATGGGCTTATTGGCCATCTCTGTATCTCGGAGACATGTCTATTTCAGTTTGTTCCCAGTTTTTTAATTGATTGTTTTTGGTGTTGAGTTTTAGGATTTCTCTGTATATCCTGGCTATAATTCCTTTATCAGATATATTATTTGCAAATATTTTTGCCCACATGTGGGTAGACTTTTTACTCTATTGGTAGTGTCTTTTGATGCACACATTTTATTTTTATAAAGCCTAACTTGTCTATACATATTTTTTGTTGCCTGTGCTGTGGGTCCGATCTGAAAAAGTATTGCCAAATCCAATGTTATGAAACAGCTTATGTTTTCTTTTCTAAGAGTATTGTAGTTTCAGGTCTTACTTGTAGGTCAAGGTTACATTTTTCGGTTCACTTTTTTAATATGGTGTTAGGTAAGAGTCCAATTTTATTCATTTGCATGTGGATATCCAGTTTTCCCAGCACCATTTGTTGCATACAGCCTTTTGTTCCATTGATACCCTTGTGAAAAATCATTTGACCATATTTACAAGGGTTTTTATCTAGAGTCTTTATTCCAATGGTCTGTATCTGTGTCTTTATGCCAGTACCATGCTGATTTGATTACTGAAGCATTCTAAGCTTTGAAATCAGAAAGTGAGGGTCTTCCAGCTTTGTTCCTCTTTTTTGGGATTGTTTTAGCTATTCAGAGTCCCTTTAGATTCCATAGAAATTTTATCATCGGCTTTTCTATTTTAACACAAAACATAATCGGGATTTTGATAGCAATTGCATTGAATCTGTAGATTGCTATGGGGTAGTACTGACATTTTAAAAATATTAACTCTTCCAGTCTATGAACATGGGATGTTTTTCCATTTATTTATGTCCTCTTTAATTTCTTTTAGAAAAAGTTGGAGTTCACCTCCTTGGTTAAATTTATTCCCAAATATTTTAGTCATTTTGATGCTATTGTAAACAAAAGGTTTTTTTTTCTTAAATCTTTTGATATTTTCATTGTCAGTGTCAGCATTGCCTGTTGCATAGAAATGCAACTGATTTTTTTTTATGCTTACTTTGTATCCTGCTCCTTTGCTGAATTCATTTATTAGTTCTGAGTACTTTGGTGTATTTTTTAGGGTTTTCTCTATATATGATCATATTAATATGAAGACAATTTGGATACTTTTTATATCTTTTTCTCACTTGCATTGCTCAAGTTAAGACTTCTAAACTATATTGAATAGAAGTGAAAAAAGCAGGCATCCTTGTCTTATTCCTGATATTAGAGGAAAAGCTTTTAGTCCTTCACCATTGGTTATGATGCTCACTGTGAATTTTTTATATATGGTATTCATTATCTTGAGGTAGTTTTCTTCTGTTCCTAGATTCATGAGTGGTTTTATCATGAAAGGGTATTAAATGTTATCAAATGACTTTAAAGCATCACTTGACATAATGGTTATTCTTCCTTATTTTCTATTAATGTGGTGTATTACATTTTTTTATTTTTGTATGTTGAAACACTTTTGCATTCCAGAAATTCCTCTTGGTCATGGTGTAAAATCCTTTTAATACGCTGCTGAATTTAATTTGCTAATATTTTGTTGGGGACATTTACATCACCATTCATAAGGAATCTTGGTCTATAATTTTCCCTTTTTATACTCTCTTTAATTGGCTTTGGTATCAGAGTAATGCTGGGTTCATAGAATGAATTAAGGAGTGTTCTCTCTGCTAATTTTTTTTTTAATAATTGAGAAGTACTGGTGCTCTTCTTTAATGTTTGGTAAGATTCACTGGTGAATCCACTAAGTCCAGTGCTTTTTTGGTCAGAAGATTTGTGATTACTTCTTCAATTTTCATATTAGTTATAGGTCTATTTTGACTTTCTACTTCTTCATTTTTCAGTTATGGTACATGGTATTTCTAGTAATTTGCCTAATTCATTTAAGTTAGCCAATTGATTGACATACAGTTGCTCATAGTACTCTCTTATAATCCTTTTTTCCCTGTAGATTTTGTAATAATGTCCCACTTTCCTTTCTGATTCTAGTAATGTGAGTCATTTCTCTTGTTTTCTTACCATCTAGGTTTGTCCATTTGTTTATCTTTTCAGAAGACCAAACTTGTATTTTGTTGATTTTTTTCTTTTCCTTTTTTTTTTTTTTTTTTCAAAGAGTCTCACTCCATCACCCAGGCTGGAGTGCAGTGCCTCAATCTCAGCTCACTGCAATCCCTGCCTCCCACGTTCAAACAATTTTCCTGCCTCAGCATCCTGAGTAGCTGGAATTACAGGCACATGCCGCCACGCCCAGCTAATTTTTGTATTTTAGTAGAGACAGGGTTTTGCCATGTTGGCCAGGCTGGTCTTGAACTCCTGACTTCAAGTGATCCACCTGCCTTGGCCTCCCAAAGAGCAAGGATTACAGGCATGAGCTACCATGCCCGGCCTATTTTTCTATTCTCTATTTTGTTTATCTGTACTCTAGTCTTTAATATTTTCTTCCTTCTGCTAGCTTTGGGTATAATTTGTCCCTTTTTTGTAGTTCTTTTAGATGTAAAATTGGATTGTCGATATTAGAATTTTCTTGTTTTTTTTTTTTGTTTTTTTTTTTTTTAATGTAAGTGCTTGTATCTCTTAATTTTTCCCCTAGCACTATCTTTGCTTTCCCCTTAAATTTCGACTAGTGTGTTTTCATTTTCCACTCCTTGCTAAGCATGTTCTACTTTCCCTTGGGGTTTTCTTTGAATCATTTTGTTTAATAACATGGTTGTTTAATTTCCACAAATTTGTGAATTTTTCAGAATTTCTGGTTTTAAGATTTTAGTTACATTCTGTTGTGGTTGGGAAAGGTACTTTGTATTATATCTATCTTTTAAAATTGATTTAGACTAAATTTGTAGTTTATCATAGGTATATCCTGGAAAATGTCCTGTGTGCATTTGAGAAGAATGTACATGCCGAAGTTATGGGTAGAGTGTTCTATATATGTCTGTTACATTTGGTTGGTTTATTGTGTCAAGTTCTCTATTTCCTTACTTATTTGTGTGTTCTATCCATTGTTGATAATAGAGTATTGGAGTCTGCAACTATTATTGTAGAACTGTCTATTTTTTTTAATGCTGTTTATTTTTGTTTCTTATATTTTTATGGTCTGTTACTAAATGTGTAGATATTTATAATTGTTATATATTCTTGCTTTATTAAAATTGTCATTCATAGCAACTGAAAGAAAAGACCTAAATGTTTAAAAAGGAATAGCCTGGTGTTTATTCTAAATGCTATATTTTAATAAATGTAGTTATATATTGTAAAAAATTTTTAAAGTACAAAAGATGAAATTATTATTCATGGGTTTTGTCTTTTATAACTATTTTTTAATTTAAATTGTCTTTTCTCTAATATTCGTACAGTCACCTCTGTTCTCTGTAGGTAACTATTTGCATGGAATGTCCTTTTTCATCTTTTCCTTTTTAATTTATCTGGGTCTTTAGATATAAAGTGTGTTTCTAGTAGACAGCATATAGCTAGGCCATGTTTATAATTCATTCTCTGAATTTCTGTCTTTTGATTGGATAATTTAATCCATTTATATTTAAATTAATTACCGATAAGGGGGAACTTCTGTCTTTTGTGTACTTTTTATATTCCTCATTTTTTGTGTGTGCTTTTGCCTTATTTGTTGCCTTATCATCTTCTTATGTGTTAGTCAATTTTTTTGTGTATATACTGTTGCTATTTTGTGTGTGTGTGGTTAACCTGGAGACTACATTTAACATCCAAAAGTTCCAACACTCTAATTTGAATTTACACCAGCTTAAATTTAATAATATATGGAAACTGTGTCCTCACTCCTTTCAGTTCTTCATGATATACAATTACATATTTACATATTCTGTATCCCAAGACATAAACTGCGAATTTTTTAATACATTACTCACTTAAATTATGTATAAAACAAAATGTTTCTACAGTTTACAAAGTTATAATACTAGCTTTTAGATTAATCATTGTTTTCTTTATACTATTCTCTTAAATCATGTAGGAA
The DNA here is from genome assembly GCF_000001405.40 of Homo sapiens. NCBI lineage: Eukaryota > Metazoa > Chordata > Mammalia > Primates > Hominidae > Homo > Homo sapiens. The sequence continues at coordinate 165,825,588 of NC_000005.10, forward strand.
ACCAAAAGTGGTGTTATATGCCATTGTTACAAAAATACTAGCTCTCATAATTGTCCATGTATTTGACTTTACTGAGATATCTATTTCTTCATATAGCTTTAAGTCACTGTCTAGTGTCTTTACATTTTAATCTGTAGGACTCCCTTGAATATTTATTGCATGCCAGGTATAGAAATATTCCTCAGCTTTTGTTTATCTGAGAATATCTTAATTATTCTTTCAAATTTGAGTGACATTGTGGCCAGTTATAGGATTCTCAGTTGACATTTTTTCCGTTTTCACATTTTGAATACATCAACCTACTGCCTTTAGGCCTCCGAAGTTCAGATGACAAGTCTGCTGGTATCGTTTTGAAGATTGCGTATACGAGATGAGTTGCATTTCTTTTACTGCTTCCAAAATTCTCTTTGTTTTCCCTTTCAATAGTTTGCTTTTATTTTATTTTTTATTTTTTTATTTTATTATTATTATACTTTAAGTTTTAGGATACATGTGCACAATGTGCAGGTTTGTTACATATGTATACGTGTGCCATGTTGGTGTGCTGTTAATTTGTCTTGGTTTGCACCTGCTTGTGTACCTTACTCCAAGTTCTACTGAGCTTCATGGATATTTATATTCTGGTTTCTTATTAAATTTGAATGGTTTTTAATCATTATTTTTTTTTAATTCTCTGTCTCTTTTTTTTATCCTCTAGGACTACCACAATGTGTGTGTTAATTGGCTTGATGATGTTCCAGAAATCCCTTAGGCTTTGTTACTTTTCTTCGTTCTTTTTTTTCCTCTGTTCCTAAGACTCCACTGTGTCCATTGCTGTATCTTCAAGTTCTCTGATTCTTTCTTCTGCTTGATCAAATCTGCCTTTGAATCCCTCTAATGAAGTTTTCCATTTCCATTATTGTAATTTTCAACTTCAGGATTTGTTTTTTCCTTTTTAGGTTTTCTATCTCTTTATTGATATTTCCATTTTGTTCATATATCATTTTCCTGACTTTCTCCATGTTCTCCTTTAGTTCTCTGAGCATCTTTAGAACATTTTTGAAACCTTTGTCTAACAGATCTGCCATGAGGTCTTTCCCAGGGACAGTTTTTGTTGGCTTGCTTTTTTTGTTTGTTTGTTTGAATGGCCTTAACTTTCCTGTTTCTTTGTATTCTTTGTGATTTTCTTGGTTGAAAACCGGGCATTTAAGTCTAATAACGCAGTACCTCTTGAAACCAGGTTCTCTGCCTTCCCCAGAATTTGTGGGTGGTGGTTTTTGTTTTCTGGATTATTGTAGGCCATGTCCATATCAACAGTCAGCCTAAGGTGTAAACTTAAAGTCTTTTCGTTTCTGTTCTAAACTTGCACCTTCACCTGTGTATTTGCAGTGTCTTTATAATTTTCTCCATATATGCATTTCCCTTCCAATGTCTTATTTGTAACAACTGGCTTCTAAAAGGGGAAAAAGAGAACAATAAAGGGGAGAGGGATACTAGCCCTTTAAGTCCACCGGAAGTCACTTCACCCAGAGGGTAGGGTTACAATAATGGGGGAGGTGCAATGAAATATGCACTGTCTCTTTTTCTGCACTTCTGTAACCAAAAGCATCAATCAGTGATCAGAGCACAGAGGCAAGATATTAGGAAGTCAGAGTTCTTTTCCCCACTCTGACTCCCGCAAGCTGCTTGCTATGGGAATGAGGGGTAGGATATGGGTGCCTGCTACCGTGCTAAAAGGTGAAATCAACTAAAATTAATGGAAAGTTACTGTTTACTGAAATTAACTGAAAGTTACAGTCCAAGACTTCCTCTGGAAGTTGCAAACTTTCAATAGGCTCCAAGTTCCAAACTAGTTCCATCAGACCGATACTACCAGAGCTATTGTGTAGGGAAGCTGGCCGATTTCTGCTGGATCCTACTCTGCCACCTTCCCAGAATCCTTTCCTATTCTTAATTTCCAATATTGCCCTGGGCAGTCCAGTTACTTGAATTTTAGAACTAACTTGTCAAATTTGTAAAAAGGCTTGCTGCAATTATGAAATTATCTGACTCTATAGAATAATTTAGTTAAAACTGTTTTCTAATCCATAAATATGGTATATCTCTCCTTTATTTAGGTCTTTTAAAATTTCTGCCACTAATGTTTTAATTTTCACCTAATTAGTCTGTAATTTTTTTTCTTTAAAATATTTCTGTCAAGTTTTGGGATTTGGGTTAGACTGTGAAGTAATTCAGAAGAATTCCCTGCTCTATTTTCTGCAAGTTTGCATAAGTTGGTAAATAAATTAAAACTTTTTTAAATTAAATTTGGTATCCAAATCAATAGTAAATCATTTGAACTTGGACTTTAATTTGTAGAAGCTTTCAATAAAAGTTCTATTTTTTACATATAGTGTTCAAATTCTGTTTCATGTTGTTTGTTTTAGCAAGTTGTATTTTTTAACAGATTTCTTCCTCTTTACATAAAGGGTGAAATTTGTTTTCTTTCATTTTCCATATTCCTCATTCATATTCTCTTCTTTCTTCTTCATTCTTGCTGGGTGTTTATCAAATTTATCTTTTTAATGAACCAATTTTGGTTTTGAAAATTATCTGTTGCTCTCTGTATTTAATTTCATTGATTTTTGTTCTTTTTTTTTTTTTTTTTTTAACTATTTATTCTGCACTATGGGCTTAGATTATTCTTCTAATCCAATATTCTCAAAGATTAACTTTAGGTTATTGATTTTAGACCTTGTTTAAATGTTTCCAATATTAAAGGTTATTGCTACAGATTTCCCTCTAATCACTGCTTTAGCTGTATCCCACATATTTTGATCTATTTTTGTAATTATTCAGTCAGATGTATTTTCTAATTATCTGAGTAATTTATTATTTTGCTTATTTAGAAATGCATTTGTTAATTTCTAAACATGTGGTTTTTATGTTTTAAAATATTTGTTTCTAATTTAATTTTTGCCAAAGAGTATTTATTGTCTATTCTTAAAATTTATTGAGAGTGTTTTATGGACTGAAATATGATTCGTATTGGTTGCTTCTTTTGCCCTTAAAAAGGCTCTATATTCTAATATTTATGGGTGAAGTGTTCCACAAATATCCATTAGATCCAATAGCTTAATAGCATTACTCAAATCTTCTATATCTCTCCTGATTTTTATCTGATTGCTCTCCTAATTTTTAAGAGATGCCTGTTAAAATCTATAACTATGGAATTATCTGTTTCTTTCTTTAGCTGTGTCAATTTATAATTTATGTATTGTGAATTTTTATTATTTGTCAAATACCAACTTACACTGTTATGTCTTTCTGGATAACTGATTATTTGCAATTGTAAAATATTTTTATAGATCTCTGGGCATACTGTTTTGCTTGAAGCAATTAATATATTCATATACCTGTGCAATGTGACAGAATGTGCCCTTTCTTATGCTTATCATCTGCATTTTTTAATCTTGGAAGTCTCTATGTATTTATATAAATAATAATTTTTGTACTCAACATGTACTTAGGCTTTTTTTTAATCTATTATGAAAACCTTTGACTTTTAATTGCAGTGTTCCATTAGCATATGCTATTTTTTATATCGTTGAAACAAATGTCTACTGTTTGACAACTTGATTTTAATTTCTCCTCTTTTCCTTGTTTCTTTGTTCTTTTCCTTTGAATTAACTACCTTTTTTAGAATTTTATTTGGATGTATTTACTTACTTTGCATATATTTTTAGAGCTGCTTTAAGGATGGAAGTACGTTTTCTTAACATTTATAATCTATATAACAATATTGTGCAAGTATATTTAAAATATATGAAAGTTTCAAATGAGTAAAAAATTATCGTTTCTAGTATTTATGCTTTAATTTTATATACATCACATGTATAGACATTATAAATAAGCCCTTAATATAATATTGAATTTGTTATTTTATTATTTTATTTTGTTTTTGAGACAATGTCTTGCTTTGTCACCCAGACTGGAGTGCAGTTGCACAATTTGAGCTCACTGCAACCTCTCCCTCCCGGGCTCCAAGTGATCCTCCCGCCTCAGACTTCTGAGTAGCTGGGACTACAGATGCATATCACCATGCCTGGCTAATTTTTGTATTTTTTGTTGAGACAAAACATGCACGCCACGTTGCCCAGGCTGGTCTTGAACTCTTGAGCTCAAGCCATCCACCCACCTTGGTCTACCAAACTGCTGGGTTTACAGGCGTGCACCGCTGTGCTCAGACTAAATTTCTTATTTCAAATAGTCATATTTAGTTTTTAAATGCTTATGAAAAGACAAAATTACCCATGTGTCTATCATTTCTGATGTTGTTTATATTTTTCTGAAATGCCAATATTTCATCTGAGATCATTTCGCTTATATCTGAAGCACTTTCTATAACTTTTGTTGCAGTGCAAGTCTGCTAGGGGCAAATTATATTAGTTTTATCTCATCAGCATAGGTATTTGTTTTGATTTCATTTTTGAAGAACATATTTTTTCTATATATTATTCTCAATTAACAGCTCTTTTCCTTCACTACTTTTAGATGTTAATTTACTGCCTTCCGTCTGCCACAGTCTCTAGTAAAATGTTGGCATCATTTCATTCATTGTTTTCTTTTATGTAATGTTTCATTTTTCTCTGATTAATTTCAAGATTTTCTTTGTTTAATTTGCATTAGTTTGACTATGGGTCTAGATAGTATTTTTTTATAGTCTGTCTGTTTGATGCTGCCTGATCTTTTTTGAATTAAAAAATTTATATCTCTAACTATATAAGAAAAAAATTTCAGCCACTCTTTCTTCAACTATATTTTTTGCTTCATTTTCTATTTCTTCTCTTTCTGCCAAATCATAGACATTTTGATATTGTCCCATATTGCTTATATTTTCTATCTTGTTACTCTTTCTAAAGTATGGATATTTATTTCTGTCAATTATCAGGTTCACAGACTCTTACTTTCTTAAACTTCAGTCTGCTATTAATGCCATTCAATGCATTAAAAATATATATATAGCATGTTCCACTTTCCTATTTTTTAAGTTCTGTTTCTTAATTGTGTATTTCTGTATTTTCATTCATTACAAACATATTTTCATTCATCACGTATTTTAAAAATGGACTTAAAAGTTTTGTCTCTTATTTCCAACATCTGCCATTTCGAGGGTAATCTCTTTTGATTGTCTTTTCCCCTAATGATCTGTCATATAATTGTTTCTCTGTATGCTACATAATTTCAGTTTATATGCTGGACACTGTGAATTTGAATTGCAGGGATTATGAATTTTTTTCTGTTTATCTGAAGAATATAGATTTTTTTAAAAAGGCAATTAGCGTGGCTGAACTCGCACTTCCAACTTTGTCCTTACTAAGGTGGACAGTAGATAAAAATCTCTGTTCACTTTTCTTCAGTGTTCATTTAACTTCTGGTGATGTGCTCTGTGCCTACATGGTTATTTGGTCAGTCAGTGTTTTGGGCAGGCAGGGATTATCTACATTACTTAGAGCTCCTCAACTCTGGCACTTTCCTTAGATTTCCTCACTTTGCAAGTGCTGTGATTTCCCCAAATTCTCTATTACTTCAAGTTTATAAGACTGCAGCTTTTATGTCAGCACATTAAGCACCCCACATGATGAAAACTTGAGACTGTTCTCAGAGTACATGCCGCACAAAATATAAAGCTCAAACCCAGCCCTTTATTTCTTCGTAGTGTCAATTTCTCTTCAGTATCTCCCTGCCTCCCTGCCTTTTTTCATTCACCAGTACCTTAAATTAGGTTGTACCTATTGTCCAAAGGTTATAATTGTTATCTTTGGAAGAATTATTAGAAGTGCCACTCACAGTTACCCGTTGTTTACCCATTGTAAAATATTACTTTTCAGAATAATATGTTTCCATCTGCCTGTGTGTAAACTTGAGATCATACTAAAGCTTATACGGAGGTTTTCTTGTTTTATTATTATCATTCAACTTTCTTCTCTTCATCATTTTTACCTTCATTTTTGTTACCAATATCATGAAATCCAACATTTATTTATGTTTATTTCATTTTACACATGCTTCATATGTTAGCATACATCTTACCATACATTATTCCTAATAAGTATATGGAATTTAAGTATGTGTTATTGTTTTCTCAATTTTATTAAGGAGAAAATGAGCTTAAAAATCTAAAATATACTGTCTACAGCTCACAGAACATATACTGATGTTCTGTGTTACATAATACTCAGATATATCAGTCTAGTTCATATTAAATGTCCCAGTTTTGACAGTTTTAATAGTGTTTCATAGGATGGATATATCACAAGGTATTCAAATACTCACATATTGCAATGATAAAAATAAATCTTGTCAAAACTCTATATTGATGAAAAATTGCATATGGAAGAACTAAGATATACAATTAGAAAGATAAGAACAGATCATTAAGAGCTATGAATACTATGCTAGGGACTTGTAAATTATGCTCAGGCAATAAAAAACCACCAAAAATCTCCAAGTAGAAGAATGGCATGATTACAGTGACTTGATTAGCCATTTGAATGTGAATCATAAGCTGCAGAGAGAGATGGCAGATAGACTAAGCCACTGCAAAATCTGGAAGGAAGACTCTATGTACTTGAATTAAGCAGTGGAAAGAGAGTTCTAAAAAGGATATGGATACAGGAGGTGATCAACAGAAAGAAGTAAGTTAACACATTAGCATCTTGGTGTTAAAACAAAAATAATCTATGCAAATGCCAAACAAAATCTAGAAATAAAACCATATTACAGATAAGTCAGAGTAAAACAACTGTTCTTTAAGTGGCTGGGTAATCGAGGTCCATCTGTTTTTTCTGTCTTGTGTGGGGATGTGTGTTCAGCTATGATACTGTCAATCTTTCATATGCTTCTTTGTCAAAAGCAGTTCATGTTTACTTATAAATAATTATAATCTTTTGTTCAGGAAAATAGCATTGCTGGAGGTGCTCAGATATGCAGAACACAATTTCAACACAAAGAAGAAAGTTATCTAAATTGCCCAGAATTTTCGTAAATTACACATGTAGGTATAATAGTTAAATATCAATCAGCAGATTGTTTAAATTAGTTCATGTATTGTGTTGAATAAATTATGTAAAAATTAATTATTATAAAGGCCAGTAAGACTGGGACTTACATTTTACTTTTGTGTACATGTAACAGACTTTTAATGTTCCTTTCAATAATGCTTAAATCTATAGTGGTTACACAGAGAAAACCTTGAATGTTTTACATATATTCTTCTCAGATAATGATATATAGTATTTCTGTAATGAAATGTTCTAAAATGTGCTTTATATCCTTTTTGATTAAATGGAACTACTTTTAAATGTCCGATTATTGCAGAAGACTACAAATTGAAGCCCACTGAAGATTTTAGACTGAAGATTTTGCCAATTTTTAACTTCTCCTATTTAATTTTCACATGCACTACTTTTATTTTTACTACAGTTGAAGTTGCCACCTCTGACTGGAAAAATACCTGTCTACATATTTCTTCTTTTGTAATATATCTACTTCCATTTCCATATTTATATTAAATTTTGGCTTTTTTTTTTTTGTAAGTGATTGAGCTGAAAGTTCAAACAGGTGACTCACTATCAAGGAATAGGTTACTGGTTTATTAATATTTTAACATTTTCCTTAGGCAAACATTAAAGCAATTGCCATTAAGTAAAGGCTTTAGAAATAACCTGCTCCTGGATACAAGAAATATAATTGTTTTCTGGGACAATAGCATTATTTTAAAAGCTTTTTAGCCAGAGTTTTTATTACTTGTCTTTTTAGAACTTATTTGAAACATGAATCATAGATAATCAAGCTTTCTTTAAGACACATATATTTCATTTGAAATTAAAATATTTTATATATTCCTATTAAAAACTCATATCAATATAAAGTACATTCTTTGTGATGATTTTGTGGGCTGAAGAAATGTTGCAGTTTTGAAACATTAAATGAAAATTGAAATAATATCCTTTTAAAATGAGGCAAAGTCCATCATGAACATTGTTCTTACAGTTTGATTATTTAACATACTTATATAAAAGGGTTGTAAATTATGTATAAATTCTTGATATTAATCACATAAGTTGTGTACATAGAACCTTTCCCTGGCACAGAAATAATAAATCAGTTAAATGCATTTATTGTGTTAAAGTATATTAGTCATGTCTCAGATAATTTTATTCTTTAATGCCATACACAAGAGTAATTTTCTCTTAGGGTGAAATGATTACTTAAATGTTATTCTGCAAACCTTGGCAGTCTCTACTACTTCAATAGAAAGTATTAAAAAAAAAAAAAGATCAGAGAAGTGATTGAAGACAGATCATCAACTATCAGTTGAGAACAGGAGAAGCAGCCTTAAACGCTGTTTACAAAAGCTACTTACTCTACCCCATTTTACTTCCAGCTTTACTCTCATATTATTCGTGTTAATCTGCCCAGATTATTTACACTTTTTATGCTTCTGCTTTCCTATTTGTGAAGTGGGGATGTTAATGGTACCTATATATGAGGGTATTTATGAGGAGTCCATGAGATAATATCTGTATAGCACTTAGCCTTATGACTACCATGCTATTACTTAGCAGACAGTAAAGAGAGTTTGGTTAAGATAGCTATTTATTCTATATTATTTCATATCTGAAAGATATTTTCTAAATCAATTGAAAAGCTGTAGGTGGATATACAGAAAATCTTAATGTTAGGGAGTTTTTATTTTTTATTCCCCAAATCTATGCTTCATTTCTTAAATTTGGAAGGCTCATATCTTCTATAGGTCAAGCCTATGAAATTTTTCAGACTTCAAAATTAAAGTTATTTCTTTGCTTCTCGATTATCAATTAATTTTTACTTGACATATTTTCAACCAGAGTATAGCTAACTTCTGCCATAAAAGCCTGCTAGTATTATTAACCAACATGAATTAAACACATATTTGTTGAACATCTACTCACTACTCAGTAGGCTGCTCGTGGTAGGTGGTGCAAAGAACAAGACAACTACAATTAAATTTCAGGCCAAATCTAGCAGAGGATTATTTCAGCCTGGTCCCCCTAGGAAACTCTGAAGTTATTCTTAAGCCCAGTGTTACACCAATCTGGATTAAGGGTGCTGGCCTTTTATAATCTTCCAGGCCACACACGTTGACAAACAATTTCCCTTGGAGGAAAATAATTCCCAAGAACTTCTGATTGGGGTGCAGAGTGACTCCAATAACTTGAGGGCTGACCACTAAAGAAAAGTCACAGGTGAAGGTTATTGAAGACAAATCCACATTAAACTGGCCAAAAAAAAAAAAAAAAAAAAAAAAAAAGGTGGGGGGAGGTGGCGGGAAGGGGACCAGGAAACTTTAAAAAAAAATGACATGATGTGAGTGAAGCACCAGACGTTTCTAGTACACATTTTTAGCGTACATGTTATGATGATTAAATAAAACTATCCACCTAAAACGTTTAGCAGAGCTCCTGGCACAGTAAGAACTGATTGCTATCCAGTTATTATAGCATTAAGGATAAGTGTAGGGTTTTCTGGCATTACAGGTGGGTGGGTGTCAAACCTAGCTTTAGTGGGAGGTAGGAGTGGTGGGTGGTTAATGGATGTCAGAAAATTCTTCCTAGAGGAGTTAGCATGTATGCTATGTCTCAAAGCATGGTTAACCCATTAAGGAGAGCTACAAGGACTACAGAAGTGGGACTGGAGAGAAGAATGAATAAGAGTGTAAAAGGAAGTGAGAGCAGCAGGTATAAAAGTCAGAGACAAGAAAAGTCATAACAGGGAATGTGTGTATTTTTGTGCAACTTGAGCAGAGTATTAGGATAAATTAATTTGGGATGTCAATGGACCATGTTAAAGTGGTATTACTTTGGCATTCATTCATTCATTCGTCCTAACAATATTTACTGGGAGTTTTTTCCATGTCAGGACCTTTCTAGAAAGTGAATAAAACATACATCAGTGAATAACAAAAAACTGACTTATATTTTTTTAAAAAGCAGACAACAAGCAAGTAACAAAATATGTAAGTAAAGCAGAGAAGATGTTAGACGGTGATAAATGCTTAAATTTTTGTTTTAAAATAATGCAAAGTAAGCCTGTTAGAGACAGGGGTGGGAGTAGGGAGGCTACAATTAAAGAGAGTAGTCATAGTAGGCGTCATCAAATAGGTAACATCTGAGTAAAGGCTTAAAAACACTTTACTGATGATTGACATGACTGATATTAGGGGAAGAACCAGGAGGCTGATGTTGATGAAAAGAGCAAGTACATAAATGAATAGTAATAAGTGATGTCAAAGAGCTAATGGGAATCAAGATCTTGTAGGGTCTTGTAGGCCATTGAAGACATTCTGTATCTTGCTCTGAGTGAAATTGGGATAAAGGAAATGATCTCTATACTGTTTTTAAAAGATTACCCTGGTAATCATATAGAGAACTGATGAAAGAAGCAGAGCTAGTATATGTAATCAAACTAATTAGGAGTCCATTGCAATAAACAAGGTGAAAGATTATGGGGGCTTGTAAATAAATGGTAAGAAGTGGTAAATTCTAAATATATTTTGAAGGTGCAGCCAAGATTTCTTGGTGAATTGCACCCTGGTGTATGAGAAAGATGAGTCAAGAATGACTCAAATTTTGGCTTTGCACAACTGAAGTAATGGAGTTGCTGACATTTAAAATATGAAGGCTATTACAAGTTGGAGTGGCCAATTCAGTTTGAGAAAAAAAGATAAAAGGCATCCAAATTGGAAAGGAAGACATTAAATGGTCTCTGATTGCAGATGACATGATTTTATATATAGAAAATCCTAGAGACTCTATCAAAATACGGTCATTACTAATAAATTCAGTAAGTTGCAGGATACAAAATCAACATACAAAAATCAATTGTGTTTATATACACTAACAATGAACTAGCTGAGAAAGAACTTATGAAACAGTCCCATTTACAATAGCATGAAAAATATTAATAATAAAATACTAATAAATTTAACCAAGAAGGTGAAAGCTCTATACACTGAAAATTTGAAGACATTGATGAAAGAAATTATAGAAGACACAAAGAAAGACATTCTATGTTCATGGAAGAATTAATATTGTTAAAATGTTGCTGACACCCAAAGCAATCTACAGATTGAATGTAATCCCTATCAAAATTTCAGTGGCACTTTTAAAAAAATAGAAAAAAGAATCCTAAAATTCATATGGAACCACAGAAGACCCCAAATAGTCAAAGCTATCTTGAGAAACAACAAAACTATAGAGATCAGTAGGGATTGAGATATTCTATTAAGCATGCAAGTGGAAATTTCAAGTAGGTAGTAGGATATGTATTTTGATTTTTGGAACGAATTTTGAAATATAAATTTGGAAGTTCTTGACATATAGATGGTATTTAAAACCATAAGACAAAATGTAATTACCAAGAGAGTGAGTCTAGTTAGAAAAGAAAAGAGGACAAGAAGTGTTTTATCCAACATTATAACAAATTGGTTGGTATTTAAAAATGTTCCCTCTGGTTAGACCTTTCCCCAGTCCTGATTTTTAAATCTTTAATAGGTAAATCAGTAAACAGACATTAGTAACCTTTTTCCTGAGATTGTGAGATTGTTTGGCAAATTTTTCAGAAGGACTGCTTAAGATTTATATTTCTGATAAAAAAATCTATATTAATCGTCTATTGCTGCATGACAAGTTATCCCAATGCTCAGTAGCTTCAAACAGCAGGTATTTATTATCTCACAATTTCTGTGGGTCAAACTTAGCTGAGTCCATTGCTCCAGGGAATCCCACAAAGCTGTAATTATGGAATCAGCCAAGGTTCTCACTGGAAGACTCAAATGAGCAAGAATCTTCCAATGTCCTTCACATGGTTGCTGGCAGGAATTAGTTCCTCAAAGATCACTGAATTGAGGAGCTTCTCTCTTCCCTGGTGGTTAGCCAGGGGTTATTTTCAGTTCCTTGTCATGCAGACTTCTTCAGCTTGCCTCATCGGAGCAAGTATGTGAGAAGAGGGAGAGAGGGAGTGGAGAGAAAGTCTTCGAGAAGCCATAGTGTTTTTTGTAATCAAACCTGGGAAGTGTTATCCCATTACTTTTGCCATATTCAATTCATTAGAAGCAAATAAATGGGCCCAGCCACACTCAAGGGAGAGGATTGTATAGGGCATGAATACCAAGAAATGAGATCACTGCAGGCCATACCATAAGCTGCCTGCCACACAACCCTTATTATTAAATAGAGCAACTGGGCATGATGGCTCACATCTGTAATCCCAGCACTTTGGGAGGCTGAGGCGGGAGGATTGCTTAAGCCCAGGAGTTTAACACAAACCTGGCAACATAGTGAGACCCCATCTTTACAAAAAAAGAAAAAAAAATTAACCACGTGTGGTGGTCCATGCCTGTAGTCCCAGCTACCTGGGAGACCAAGGTGGGAATATTGCTTAAGCCCAGGAGATTAAAACTTCAGTGAGCTGTGATTGAGCCACTATACTCCAGCCTGGGTGACCCTGTCTCAAAATAAATATTATTACTAAATATGATTAATAAATATTATATTTACTAACAGTTTAAATATCTTCATTGATCTCCCTTTTATACCCCTGGAAAGATCATCTTTCCTTTCCATAAACCATTTGCTTGCTTCTTGACATTGTAGTAAAGAATCATAATCTTTGTATACTACTTAGCAGTCTATTTCAAAGTGTTAGTTAATATAGGATTTACTATAGATACCAAGAACTTATTATTCATAGAAGCCTAGTATTTCAAGCTATATGAGGAACAACCATGTGTAATCGTTTGTTTAAATGACTCATTTGGGGATTCTGCCACCTTTGAAATAAATGATCATATGTATGTGAACTCAAGTACAGGAAAGTAGAAAATTTTCTGGGGGTTCTGGATTAAAAAAAAATCAACTGTGATTATTTGTCAAGGATCCGTTTGTCATTTTATTTTCCTCCTTCTCCCTTTCTCTCTCACACATAGCAACATGCATTTATATACAGACAACTATATGTCTACTCTCTCTCAAGAAGTGTTAAAAAAAAAAAAAAAACCTCAGAAGAGCTTAAGTTACTGTAACAGACTTTCCCAATAAAAGCTCTGTTCTTCAACACAGAGTCCCCAAAATCAGTTTCGTTTTACAGCACTGCTCTTTTCTTGTGATCTCTTAGTTATCTTCTGCGCTTATTTCTATTTGTCACTTTCCTGATACCCCCTTGTTTCAGGCTTCCACTGCCAACAGCTGAAATCATATCCTCCCATCCCTGATATCTGGTTCCTGCCACCAAACTTTACCCCGGTGCAATAGTCAAATACGGATGTGGGTCTAATGATCTCTAATTACCAGGCCTGGTATGCATTGGCATCCCAGTTGGTGACAGTTGGAGAAAATTTTGAATAAAATACCTACATTTGTATGCCGGTTTTCATGTCTATTTTAAATAAGTACCTTTTAAACTCTAAAGTTGGTTGCCATTGTTTAATCATTGTGAGATACTAAACACTACATAGAGGGATTTATAACAGTTTTCCATAAGAACATTAGGTAGGCAGCTTTCAAATCATCAATATATTGTAAATTAAGTATGTAATAATTAACATTTAAAAAATTATGCGGGAGGGTAATTATAGAATTGTAGAGCTTGGACTGTTCTTTGATGATAGAGCAAGGAAACATTACAGTGCTATGCACTGTAACTTGAAAACTCAATTTGCTTTACTGGCATATACTAGTATTAATCATTTTTAAAGGATTTTTTTTCAAATGGCATCTAAATTTAGGTTCCCACCTCCCTTATTGCATCACTGTCCCCAAAATGAAACAGTTCCCCAACACATGCCATTGGCTCTTCTTAAATACATCCTAGCTATTTCATGTTGTTATGTCTAAGGGTTGAGAATACTGTATGCTAACTTTTTTACTTTTTCATTATTTTAAGGTCCTGGGTATATGTGCAGGATGTGCATGTTTGTTACATAGATAAACGTGCTCCATGGTGGTTTGCTGTACGTATCAACTCATCACCTAAGCATTAATCCCAGCATGCATTAGCTATTTTTCCTGATGATCTCCCTTCCCCTTCACACCCCCACCCTGGACAGGCCCCAGTGTGTGTTGTTCCCCTCCCTGTATCCATGTGTTCTCATTGTTCAGCTCCCACTTATGAGTGAGAACATGTGGTGTTTGGTTTTTTGTTCCTGCATTAATTTGCTAAGGATACTGGCTTGCAGTTCCATCCATGTGCCTGCAAAGGACATGATCTCATTCCTTTTTATGAGTGCATAGTATTCCATAGTATATATGTACCACATTTTATTTATCCAGTCTATCATTGAGCATTTGGGTTGATTCCATGTCTTTACTATTGTGAATAGTGCTGCAGTGAACATAGGCATGCATGTATCTTTAAATAGAATGATTTATATTCCTTTGGGTATATACCCCTTAATGTGATTGCTGGCTCAAATAGTATTTCTGGTTTTAGGTCTTTGAGGAATCTATACACTGTCTTCCACAATTGCTTAACTAATTTACATTCCCATCAATGGTGTAAAAGCTTTCCTACCTCTTCACAGCCTCGCCAGCATCTGTTGTTTCTTGACTTTTTAATAATAGCCATTCTGACTGCTGTAAGATGGTATCTCATTGTAGTTTTGATTTGCATATTTCTAATGATCAGTGATGTTGAGCTTTTTTTCATATGGTTGTTGCCTGCATAAATGTCTTCCTTTGAGAAGTGTCTGTTCAGTCTTTGCCCACTTTTTAGTGTTTTTTTTTTTCTTGTAAATTTGTTTAAGTACCTTGTAGACTGTGGATATTAGACCTTTGTGAGATGGATTTGCAAAAATTTTCTCCCATTCTGTAGGTTGTTGGTTTGCTCTACTGATAGTTTATTTTGCTATGCAGAAACTCTTTTTTAATTATATACCATTTGTCAATTTTTGCTTTTGTTGCAATTGCTTTTGACATTTTCATCATGAAATTCTTGCCTGTGCCTATCTCCTGAATGGTGTTGCCTAGATTTTCTTCTAGGATTTCTGTAGTTTGGGATTTTACAAGCTAGATAGAGAAGGTTTCTGGATGAGAGCCTCCTTCTTTGATTTCTGACTGATAGGAATAAAAGAGAAAGAGGTATGATATTTTAAGGGCAGCAAAGACAACTAAAATTTCTAGATGACTTACTTTGGCTCTTCAACGAGGTAAGACCTTTAAATGGAACAGGCAATGCTCTGTTTAACTTTTTATATCCAGAATAAAAAATGGACATAGGGTTCCCATTAACAGCTGTGAGTCTCTTGGCCACTGTTTTTGCCTTTAGATATGTCTGCAGTGTTTTTTATTATTCCATAATGAGGATCTCTGCCATGCAAATGTCATTCCCTAGTAATATGTGAGATATCCAAGAAAATGCATTAATATTGCTAGCTCACTAGGGCACTATTGAGAGTGCTGGAGAGGTAACTTACTGCCAGAATGTGATGCCAACACAGAGCACTAGGACCCCGTCTAAGTCTTCACACATATACACAGGGCAGTCAGACTCTGAGTTCAGTGGGGTTCATTTTCATATCCCTGACTTATAATTACTCATTGTTTTTCTTATTTAATAAAAGAATGGAATATGAGACAACCATGTGAAATGATAACTTTAGAAAATGAATGTATGCAGAGGTTGTAGAGCAGACAAATATAAAGAGATATTCACTCAAAATCTGACAAATGGCAGCACTGGAGGCCTCCTAGTAGAAAGGAAAGAAGTGAAGACTTTGAATTTAAGCTCTGCTTCTAATTTATTTAAAATAAGAGGGTTTTTTTTTTTTAAACACCTGCCTTCTTCTCTCCCTGACCCTAAGTTTTAAGAATTCCTGATAACAACATGTATATTCTATTTCTTAAAGAGACATATAATATAAGCTGAAGTTCAGTTAACTTGCAAACAGTTTTTGGTTCCTAGTTCAAGGAATACTTTCTCACTCTGGTTTCTGTTCTAATTTAAGTCCTAATTCTTCTCTCTGCTTGGTTATGAAAAAAGAGAAAGTCCATTACAGTATATTTGATAAATTAATAACTTTTGTTTTTTTGTACATTTTTTCAGCTTAAAATATGATTTTTTTTTTTTTTTGAGACAGAGTCTCACGCAGTCGCCCAGGCTGGAGTGCAGTAGCAAGATTTCGGCTCACTGCAACTTCCACCTCCTGGGTTCAAGCCATTCACGTGCCTCATTCTCCCAAGTAACTGGGACTACAGGCATATGCCACATGCCTGGCTAATTTTTGTGTTTTTGGTAGAGACAGGGTTTCACCATGTTGGCCAGGCTGGTCTCAAGCTTCTGACCTCAAGTGATACCCCTGCCTTGGCCTCTCAAAGTACTGAGAGGTAAAATATGGTTTTAAAGAAAAAAAAATATGAGATTTCTAGGTAATTTAACATGAATCAATACCAATGACCAATTAATGGCTGTGATGACTTATCTTCTTCACAATGTTGAGATTCTCAGAGGGGCCTGCCAAGTATACTAAGTAACTCAAATGTTTTATTACTTGATAATGATTAATACATAAGAACATTGTGTCTATTTCACTCTTCAAAAAACTGAAATATTTTAAATGCAATAGCTCATCTTATTTGGATTTTTAAAGGGTATATTGTTTATTATTTCTTGAAATATCCACTTTATTATTTCAAGCAATGAAACAATTCCCACGATGGATTATCTTTCCTGCTTCCTAACACACACATTCAGTCTTTTTAGAATAGCCTGTCAGAAAAACATATATGTATTATTTATTTACATGATTTGTTAGTGAAGTGTAATTATTAGTAACTGACATGATAACAATGGACACATACTTTAACTGTTGCAGAAAGGATTTTTATCCCAATACTTCTTATTCAATAGAAACCAATTTTATTCTTATGGTTTAGTTTATATTGAAGATATTCTCCTTCAATATAATATAGTTTACTTCTAATGGAAAGAAAGTGTTTGTGTGCCTGGGATAGATCATACATCATACAGAAGAATACAGAATGTTTATGGAAATACAGTATTTGTATACTTATCTTTAGCAAAATCATAGAGATGGATGGTTCTTTATTTTGTAGAAACATACCATTATGAATAGTGAGGTATTATGCTTAAGATGTATTTTGTCATAAAATTGAAGCAAAAGCCTCAATTTGGATGTATGTAAAAAACAAAATCATTTTAAAATGCAACAATGAAGACAATTAAACATTTTCAATTGTTTTATACCATTTCGACAAAATATGTTCTCTTAAATATTTTACTTCAGTCGAAAATATCTCTATATCCTCCCTGATCCTCTAGAGTAAAGGGGAGTTCTGCATCTTCATGTTACCATGTGACACTCCTTTATTGTCTTAATCACAGTTGTAATTTTACATTTATTTTAATGGTTACTTAATGCCAGCATCCCACACTAGACTGTAAGTTCTGTAAGGGCAAGCATAGTGCTTTTTTAACTCATGATTTAGTCTTGTGTTTCTAACCCAAATTAAAACACGTAGCAAAAATAAATAGTTATTTAATAATTTATCTAACTCTGCTATTTTACTCTATAGTTTTACTTTCTGACATTTTAGGTCTTCTTAGAAGCCACATCAAATGATTGAATCAAGGCAGATATTATGAATCCAGACCTATAAGAAAATTGATCAGCCTTCTATTTGATGAATAAAAGCAGAGTGACCTAAAGCCCCAGTAAGACAGTGAAAAGAACTACCTTCTACAGTTCTAGTCCAGCCAGTAACTGGTCTTCATTCCCCTTGGCAACTCACTGAGGTACATTGGAAATCTGTTTTTGCAATTTAGCCTGGGGAGACTGAGATAGATTCTTAATTTTCAAGACAAATTCCAGGGTTATTTTTTTGGTGGTTCCCACAAAGTGAACTGCCTGAGGGGGCAGGGTTCTGCCCCTTACCTTAAACCAGAGTAACTTCATTATTTTCGATTTAGCTCTAAAGAACTATGACTGTATGTAGAAATATCTGTGGAATGACATTTTCTAGGCTCTGAGAATGGAAAAAGTGGTCTTGTTTTCACCCTCATCACCTTGAATGTGATAAACATAACACAGTAGGATTTTATTCTTTTCTGTAACTTCTGTTCTAACATCAAAAATAATTGAACATTTGCAGTTGAAAACATACACTTGGAATTTATTTGGATATTATGTAAACTCTACTAATGTGTAAAAACCATTCTGAAAAGAATATTTAAACCATAGTTTTTAAATCAGATGGGAGGGCATTGAACTATAAAACCCTGGGGAAGGAAAGGGCAAAAGACAGCTTATTCCTTCTAGCTTTATTCATTTAACACTTATTCTAAAAGGGATATAAAGGTTAACAAGTGATTATATATCATTTATACATAATCTGGACATACATATTCATGCCTTGGTCTTAATATTCATGCCTTGGTCTTAATATTCAGCATTTCTTGGTAATATCCCTTAAGGACATCAAAGGATCAGCATTTAAAGTCATTTTGATATCTAAAAATATGCTGTTTGTGCCTGATTAATGTATACAGGAGGCATAGGCAAAACTGGAGGTGGTGCCCAGGCTCTGACATGCTGAAGGGGAGGTACATGCTACTTTTGATGAAGATGAAAGTTCCTGTTGGGTCCAGGAAAAACATACTACCCATCCATGTTTCTGAAAGTCAGGTAATTCTAATTGTCTAAGCTGTTTTAGCTTCCAGTGGGAAGGTTCATTGCAATATATATATCCAAGGAAAAACAACAACCAACTAAACAAACAAAATGTATTTCCATCCTGTTTCTGTTACCTGCTATTATTTCAAACAAGTTCAATTTTAAAGAACAAAATATTCTATTACTACATTTACTTGGGCAGAAAGAAAAAGAAATGTGTGTTGACACTAGTGTTCCAAGGAGCACTGATGTCATCTGGAGAAAAATAATCAAAAGGAATCTAAGGATGGTGAAAGCTCTAGTTCATATTATGTTTGAATTTTGACAGTCCCAACACTTGCAACCTTTGTAAGTGATGGAGAGAGAAACACATAATGTAAAATGCGTTATTGGATGATTCTACAGGGACTTGGGAGTCCTATGTCCCTTTGGTCAAAGCTGAATAAAATGGTGCTTAAAGTCAAGGAAATGCGCACAGAAAACGACTAAGACAGGAGTAGCAGGAAGTAATTTCACTTAAACATTTCTGTGATCAAAGTTCAGGAAACCGAGAGAGTAAGAAATAGCAGAATGTTGTGAATAGAACCTTGATTTTCTAAATAAAACATAAAAGGTTTAATCTCAGCTCTGGCACCTGCTAGATATTAGATATGTGATCTTGGGAATAGTTTTTACCTCTCGTAACTGAGTTCATCAGCGGTGAATGGGGACACACCATCCTACCTTGCCTGGTGGGGAGAAGATCACATATGTAAAAGAGCCAAGGCTGGGCTCGGTGGCTCACACCTGTAATCCCAGCACTTTGGGAGGCCGAGATGGGTGGATCACGAGGTCAGGAGATCGAGGCCATCCTGGCTAACACTGTGCAACCCTGTCTCTACTAAAAATACAAAAAATTAGCCGGGCGTGGTGGCGGGTGCCTGTAGTCCCAGCTACTCGGGAGGCTGAGGCAGGAGAATGGCGTGAACCCAGGAGGCGGAGCTTGCAGTGAGCCAAGATAGCCACTGCAGTCCAGCCGGGGTGACAGAGCGAGACTCCGTCTCAAAACAAAAAAAGGGGGAAAAAAAAAGAGCCAAATATGCTTCCTGGACCTTTTATGTCTTTATTATTACATAAAACACTTATGTTATCTATGCCGTAGGTGCTGGGATCTAATGGCAAGACAACACGAAGTCCCAATTTTAATCAAATTTAAATTCTAATAAGGAGATAAATATTAAGTAACAATCACAAGGAAAAATATAGTAGTTACAATGTAAATAGGCTATTTATAGAAAAGTCCAGGAGAAATGACAGCATAGTTGACATTTTAGTGCTATAAAGAGAAAATGCAGGATTCCAGGACAGCAATAAAATGACTATGGGATGAGGGCAGAGCAGGGGCAAAGTGAG
The DNA here is from genome assembly GCF_000001405.40 of Homo sapiens. Classification (NCBI taxonomy): domain Eukaryota; kingdom Metazoa; phylum Chordata; class Mammalia; order Primates; family Hominidae; genus Homo; species Homo sapiens. The sequence continues at coordinate 165,845,668 of NC_000005.10, forward strand.
GAAGAAAGATTCTCTGGGGTGGCATTGAGTTGGAATCTGAAGAGTTAACTGTTTTAAAAATGTGCTTGGAAGTTTGGAAAAGAGCAGCCCATGCCTAAATGGAGAAGAGAGGACAGAGCTTATGTTTAGGCCCAGGGGCAGGAGAAGGTCAGTGCCTTCTCCAAACTGGCGAGAAAGCCAATGTGATCAGGGTATGGAGAGTGTGAGTAGATGGAGGATGAAGAGGAGCGTGAGGGTGTAGATAAGGCCCTGTAGGCAATGTATAGAATCTTCATTATTTCGATATAATGATCTAAAATATCAAAATATAAAAATCTTTGTTTATTGATGTAGCAATGGGGAACAATAGCAGGCTTTCATCACGACAGTTGCATTATCAGTTATATTTGGAAAGATCATTCTGCCAAAAATGCTTGGGAGGTGACAAGAATAGATGTGGGAGACCTGATAGGATTGAATTATATGGGTTCTCTCTGAGGGAGGATGGTAGCAGAGCTAGCAGGGAAAGAACAGAGAAAAGGGAACTTGCCAAGGTAGATTAGTATGTAGTAGCTCCAACTCAGTGAATGTGGAAAGGATCAGGATGATTTAAAAGCCCTCCACTTTCCCATATCCCGTAGTGCACAGACTCCAGTGTTTGTAATTTGACATTCATATTGATATAGTCTTTTGACAAACACCCCAGAGAGGACTATATAGCATATCAAGTCTGTCACACTGTGTGCACTAATTTTGCCAAATTATTTAATTTGCTTAAGAGTTTTGAGTTCATTGGGATGAAAGTGGAAGCAAACATTGGGGGGTGGGATATTAAACTTAGAATAAGAAATCAACTCTTCTTTAGAGTTTTCTTACAGTTAACTATGCCAAAAGGGAATAGGAAGAAACTAGATTGCTGTGTATGTAGTTGATTTTTAAATGATACTGTGTGAGGTTAAATATGAAGTGCAATGATTTGTTTAAAAAGTGAATTAGGGCAAGTAGTGGCATATGCTTCTTTAAACACTTTGTTTCTGTGAAATAAGAATAAGTAACATTTTAGACTACTTGCTATGCTCCAGGTATCATAATAAATGTGTTACAAGCATGACTTTATGGGTTCTAACACAACCGCCAGTGAATTGTACATGTAATATCCCATTTTACAGGTAAGGAAACAGAAGGTTTCAAAGTTAAGGACTGACCCAAGAACTTAGCTGATACCTAATGGAAACAGGACTTCCGGATAGTGTAAATTCAGAGCATCTGCTTTTTAACTTCCGTATCACACTAACTACTTGTTTAAATATAAATGTACTTTTATTAAACCTATCCTTTTAAATATCCTAGATGATCAGGTGTGCTGGCTTAGTCTCGCTTTCTGCTTCCTTTCTCCACTTTCACTTTAAAGCTCTCCCATTCTTCTTCCTTCTTTTCTTTCTTGCTCTTTTCAATCCCCTCCTGTTTTTTTCCTTGCTTATTAAGGCTGATAAATTTAAAGCCTTCATTTCTTTTTTGTAGGGCTCCTTTTTGCACCTCATTTCATCCACCTCTCCTGATCTAACTCTCCTTTTCTGATTACACTCCCATCATCTCTGGTTTGACTTTCTGAGCTAAATCCTTCAATCACAGGACTTCCCACTGATGATCGCCTTCAGAAATCTTACTATGGCCACAGTAGTTGCAGACAAGATTTATTTCATCTTTGACCTGAATCAGTATTATAAAATCTAGCCACCTTTGTGGATATCCTTGACAAGTGGGGTCAGGAATGGAAACAAAACCCCATGTTTCAAAAATAGATTGTAAGTATAGATTTAAATAAAATGGAAAATACCAATTTACAACTACTTATTTTTATTATTCCCAGTGAAATGAACTCAGTATAGTTCCTTCTTTTGTAAGTCAAAAACTTAAATTAGAATCAAAATACTGTTTTTTTTAATTACAGGAAGAGACTTATATATGCAAACTGGGAAAGTACCATATTGTGAAATCGGAAGAGAATCATAAATGGTCAGTAGTGAAGGTTCTTACCTTTTCTTCTTTCACGAAATACGTGGTAAGAAGTGATGTTAACAAAGTCACTTTACAAGCACCTAGCTAATTAATCCTGAGGGAAAAGTAAAATCATTATTCAAGTACTCTGCTTACAGAGTACAAGAGTTTTACCACCTGTTTTTCTCCCATTCAAGATGGAGGCACGTGATTCCAAGAAAAAATTGTAATGTACAAATGAACCAAAAATGTTAAGAATAATTAAACTAAGAGATCCCGCCATCCATAAAGTTGGTGCCACCTCATTTGAGAACTTTAGAGTTTTCAGTACAAAAACAATACTAGCAAAAACGGAATATGAAATGAATCACAAACTCTGAGAGTTCAAGTATGGCTTGGCAATGTATGTGTAATCAGTCTTTGTCAGCCCCTCAAGGACTTGTAAACGTGTGTAAAAGGAGAAGTCTGTTGTCTTCTATATCATTAGAAAATTTCCTGCTAGATTCTTTTGTTTGTTGGCATCATTTTATACTGATACTTTTCTTTGTGAAAATAAAAATGAAAAGATTTAAAAAGAAGTCTTAATCTTTATGCCGTATTTGAGATTCATATTAGAGGGAAATGTAAGCAAAGAAAACAGGGCTAAGGTAAGGAGATGGGGGAACACTAGATGAATGGTAAGACAGAGGCAAAAAATAGGAAACTAACAAGGCTAATATCAAATAGCTCTGCTAAAGGTGCATTGAAATATGAATTGATGCAGAGCCCTGATGCATGGACTTTCTCCTTGCCTCCTGTGCCTGCAGTAGCTTCTCCAACTTGAATGTAGCAGCCGAATTCTACTCTTCAGTGCTTTGCATGCTCTTTTGGTCTGGAATGCTCTTGTCCTTGAATGTTATTTGACTGACTTCTCCACTGTTTCCAGATCTTTACTTAAATATCACATTCTCACTATTGCCCTCCATATTCGCCCAATTCAAAACTATAACCTATATACCCTCATCTCTTCCTCCTCACCCTTGAACCTGTCAAAATTCTGAGGTATTTATCTTATGCTGTTTTTACCATAGTCCCTTTTTGTCTATCAGATCATTTACCTATGTAAATTAGGATGTTAAAAATGTTCAGAAATGAATGAAAATAAATAAAAATTGATATAATAAGGACAGTGGCCATTAATGTGAAGAAGGAAGGATAAAAGGAAAGAAAGACAAGTTATTTTGTTTTTACATTTAAAAAAAAAAAAACAAATACAAAGACATGGGAACAAAAAAAGTGTTGTATTGAGGGTATTTTAGTTTGAGATTATAAAGAAGGAATAGCTAAACGGATACTTGCTATCGCTTCCTAATGAACCACAGGATAGCTGTGGATAAACAATATTTGTGAGGGGAAGTGTTTTGTCTATTGTCTGAAAATGGGGAGAGCATCAAAGTTTGTTATCTCTCATAATCTCTGTATTTAATTCAGGAAAAATTAACTGTAGTTCCAAGGATCTGAACAGATGGCTCCCGGCTGAATCTTACCACCCGATATGTTTTATTAGGCAATGATAGCAATTTTAAATTTATAAAATGTGGGAGAATTGAGCTGAGCTATCAGCCCTCCGCCCACTTGCCATTGTCCTACACCTGACCCGTGCACATTACCTGTAGAACCTCTCAAGGGATCTGGATCTGTTACCCCAGATTTATCTTTTGGGTATTGTAGGACTTCCTTGCTTAAGATCAAAACACAACTACAAAGAGAGATAAAACTCCAAATATTGAGTATAATTCCTGTTTTATTTAATCACATTACAAAAAAAGGCAGCTGACAGGATAATTATTGGTTCTGTAAGAGTCCAGGGAAGATTCTGCAGTTTACAAACAGAATAAATTCAGAAGATTGTTAATTTTCTGAATAGATACAAACATCAGTATTGCAAGCTCCTCTCGTGAACTGCTGTATGATCATGTTGGGAGTTTTCCAACAGAATCCACCAGACCATGTGAGCTTAGGATCTCATAGAAACCCCATTATTCTGTCTTAGAAGAAATATCTTGAGAGAAAAAATGTATTGGAGGAAACCAGCGTATTTTAAAGTTTTCCCAAATTGGGCACTTTTATAATTTGGTTTTTCTATTAACATTGTGACAGATGAGAACATATACAACTATTTCTTTTCTCACAATCTTTCACAAATAGACATCTCATGTAATTTTCACTTCCAAATATATACATAATTCTGCTAATTTCCTTTCTTAATCCTCCACAAACATTTGCCGCCCACATGTTTAGGAAAAGGTATCACTAGATAGGAACAGTTAAATGTGGTCTTTTCAGAACCAGTTTGGGAGCATTTCCTGTTTCCCTGGTTTCTAGTGACAGTTCATAATGGTTTGAAAGCAGACTATCTCCTACGTTTATAATTTATGTCAAAACGACCATTCCCACCTCAAGATATAACCCTAAATTAAGCATGCTTCATGTGTCTCAAAAGAATTATTTGCCTTTTGCTGGGAAAAAAAAATTCTTTATACTTATACACAAATGAATTTCAGAGGAAAAGAGAATTATAGTTAGGAAACTTAGGTAATGATAACACAGGTAGAGAAAAAACCTAGGAGAGAGCCAAAAGTTTACATTTTGACAGAAGTTTAGATTAGTCATTTTAAATGTCATTCTATAGAATGTCACTGGAATGCATAAACAAGTTAATTAGTTTAGTTTTCTTTGTTTCTTCTTTTGCTAAATCCAGGCAAACAAAATGGGATTCCAAAACCAGAAATAAAGAAAAAAAGCCGTTTATCCCCCTTAATCCCAAGATTCCTGATTTGGGGTCTTTCAGTGTTTCGATGCTTCTGGTAACGTGTTCATTCAAATATAAATGCGATCCGCATCAAAGGCTTAACATTCAGATTAACCACTTTTTTGCATCTCACCTCTTTTTAGTTTGAACTTGGAATCTCCTCCATGTACAGACCACTAATGAGAAAATCCTTGCTTATGAATTCAGTTCAGAATTGGAGCAGTTTTCCCCCTCTCTCCTTTTGCATAATGTCTGCTTTGAAGTCAGGCAGTCCAAGAAAGTGATTGATCTCACCCACGTTCATAACTTTTTCAAAGTACTGCCGATATCATTAAATTTTAATTAACCCTTTGAGCTCCTTCTATGATATAAAGATGAGGGAACATCAAAGGCTCATGTGTTGGAACAGCAGTGGCATCTTTTGTGCTCACATAGCTTTTTAGAAGATCTCTAAGATGCAAATATTTCAATGGGGCCTTCAGCTTATTTTTTGTGTGTCTATGACATTGTTATGCTGTTGCAGGGATAGAGCTAAAATCCATTGTTAGTCTTTCAAAGCTAGTTATTTAAGCATTGCTGTTTTAAAGGCTTAGAAGTGATATAGCCTTCCACCTCTTCCACATAAAACATTGTAATCAAGGAATCTGTTTAAAATGTCACTCAGTTTGTAGCTTCCTGTGTTGTTGTCCTTCACCAGCTCTCATTTATAATTTAATCTTTATTTCCATCTTATGACTTAATGTGTAATACTTTGCATGTGGTCTTAGAAAATGATACAGTTACGTTTAAATCCGCTGGATGAAGAAGCTAAGGTAGAAAGGGGAATGTGTACTGCTAGAGGTTACGGGCTTTGACGGTGCAAGTATGATGTAGAAAAGAGTTTTCCTTAAAGCATTTAGTAAATATTTATTGCGTGTACAGACTGTGCCAGGCATTGTTTAGGGGTATAGTCACTGCCCTCATTAAATGTACATTCTAGTAAAGCAGCTTCTGCAAACCCAGGTATTTGTGTTCTGTGTCTCTTAACATCACTGACAATCACTGTCAAATGTTATGTGAATTTTACCACCATTTTTTTCAAAAAGATTTTTGAATATTGTTAATGCCTCGTAGTTCATGGATGCCTATGAGGCCACTAGGAAATGCTAGCAAGTTCAGGGGACCTAGGATCCTCACCCCATGCACATGACAGTGGATAGACAGTGTCTCGTGTGATAATTAGAATTGAAGAAACTTGTGAAGGTGGATACAGGTAACTCATTCACTCATGCCTTGGTTTTCCCACACTCCTATCTATTTTCTGTTTCTTGATAAAGTTTAAATTAATATACATAAATGTGTTTTGAAATATTACTGTCTTAAGGGTATTAAGCCTATTCATTTTAAGCTTGCTAGTTAGGTGCAGGAAAATTTGACTCGAAAATATTTCCCTTTGTCGGGTGCCTTTTCCTCCTGTTGTTTCTCTTTTAATGTGAATATCCACTACCACAGTGTTCCTTCTAAAGATCTATGGGAGGAAGAAGAAGTGATAAAAGTCTTGATTACTTCACTTCTGCAGAAGTAATGATAAGCTCGTTCCAAAACCCAAATGCACATTTGCCCCTTTAGGGTCACTTTAATCAAGGCATCATCACAGATGATGCATGTCTACCAAAATGAGATTTTCTGACCTTCCGAAATGAACATGATCTGGGCTTGCATTTGGGGTGTCTGACTTAATGTGCTTCATGTTTATAAGACTTAAATTAAACCTGCGTATATTATTGGGGAGAAATTCAACAATTTTACCAATAATTTAAAAAGTAATTGATGTTTTTTTCTCTTAAATAGAGTTTGAGCCCATTATAGCAAAAATATTTTAAATATTGAACTGTTAATTGCCTTAATAATTCTAGAATTCCTTGTAAAGACAAACACTTACTGTAAAGATAAAGTAGAAGTGTAAACGGTGTAATTGTAGTTTTGGGCTCAGAATGTAGATTAACCCATGTGACGGATGTGTCCAATACAAACAATATATTCTGACTACACTATACAGATTTTTTTTCTGTTTTTCCCTATATTCGAAGAGGACACTAGATAAATTAATTTGAAAAGTCTATATGTTCTAGAAATGGACAATAATAAAGGACAAGTAAAACTTAGTTTGCGTTGGTAACAGATGATACTTCATATAAAAGATTAAGTTTTTCCTTACATTTCACAGTGAGGAATGGTAGCCACCTAACAAGTCACAGTGCCATTTAATGTTTCATATTATTTCTAAGTGTAACCTGTGTTTTTTCATATTGTTAATTATATGCAGATTCGTATACATTTGTTCACCCCAGATTTAAGAATGGTTATCATGGAGAATCAGTCCAAGTGCCTGAGAATAATACTCGAAAAGCCATCAATAAGAAAATTGTGAAAAATAAAAGTGAAATAAACAAATTAGATTAAGAGCAATAAAAGGTTTAAAGCTATACCCCTAAAAGGGTTTGTTAAAAACTAAATTTTTTATAGTTATATAAGTTGGAAATAATTTGGGGGCATGCATGCAAAATGAGCTTAAAATAGGTTTTATATAAATGATGAACATATGGTGATCTATGAATGCAGTGGCAAATGGGATTCACTGGATAATATGCCCATTCCTCCTTTTCTCTCCAATTTCTCTGTCAAATGAAAGCCAGAAGAGATTATGATTAAAGTTATTCTGAGGAAAAACAAAATTCTGAGTCGTAGATTATAAGCCCCTACTTGCTTTCTGCTTTCCAACTTCGCCAAATCTGTGTTGCTGCTCAAGGGCAAGATGACCTTAGTGTTACCTCCAGATGCCCTTCTAACTGGTGGTGCCATACCAGTAGGAGAAAAAGATTCACAATGACTGTAACAAAACTTAGCCGGGTGACCCAGGGGAGGGTGTTGACTTTTTCTAGAGATTGCCGTCTGGTACCCACTATTTCCCAAAACAAACTCCTCTGATTTTGATCATCCTTATCATTATTTTGTCATTTGATTTTTACTAATGCTGCTAAATATTGCATTTCAGAGATTGCACCAGAAGCTTTAGACACATTATCTCATGTGCTAACGAATGACTCTAGGATATACACAGTGTTATCCCCATGGAACAGATAAAGAAACTAAGGTTCTGAGCAGTTAAATATCTTGCCCAAGACATAAAGATCAATGAATAGCAAAGTTAAGAATTTAAACCAAGTTTTACCTGTCTCCAATTCCTTAGTTCCGTTTACTAAGTTCTATTGAATTTCACACTATATTTGGCCATCTTTCTTTTCCTTTTTTTTTTTTTGAGATGGAGTCTTGCTCTGTCACCAGGCTGGAGTGCGGTGGTGCAACCTTGGCCAATCTTGGCTCACTGCAATCTCCGCCTCCCAGGTTCAAGCGATTCTCCTGCCTCAGCCTTCCAAGTAGCTGGGATTACAGGTGCACGCCACCACACTCAGCTAATTTTTGTATTTTTACTAGAGACGGGGTTTCACTATGTTGGCCAGGGTGGTCTTGATCTCCTGACCTCGTGATGTATCCGCCTCAGCCTCTCAAAGTACTGGGATTACAGGCGTGAGCCATCACGCCCAGTCCATCTTTCTTAATGTTATGTAAATGGGCCAAGTTTGTTTCCCCTCTCTCTGCTTTTTGATTTGTCGTTCTTCCTACCAGAAACACTCCATTCTCTTTGCCGTTAGTTCTTTGAGCCACGACATGGATCCTAAATAATGGAAACTCCAGTTTTGTCTTCTCAGCTTCCCTAACACTCTTTTTCTTCTGCTCATGTAATTCAAGTGGGCTTCTGCTACCCCCAGATCTAGCAGAAGTGCTCAGAGATGCCTCCTCCCTCTGACCATAGTAATTGTTTGGAGATGAATATGCAACTCAAACTGAATCAGTTAGAGTCCTCCTCAAGATGTTGACATCATCAGAATGACTTTTTCTTCCTGGTAGTTTAACTTACAGCCATCTTTCCTGCCTTGTAGAGCATCTCTTCTAAGAAAACATTCATTCAGGGAAAATCACAGACATATGGAAAAAGACAAACCTATCAGGTTAAGACTGAGACCCTGGATCTAGCTGTGCCTGAAGCAGTCCAATTTTTCCAATGGCAGATGAAACTACCACCCCATATTTTCTATATGAATTTGTATTGTGTCTGAAACTTATATTGATTCTCACTAATATTCTTATTGATCTGTCACATCTTTTCTGGTCGTCTGGGTCGTTATTATATTACATCCCTGAATAGCCACATTTCTCAGTACTTCAAAAAATGTCCCTGAACCCTCTTCTTAAAAGAGTCATTTTCTTTTCTCTTTATTTGTATCAATTCATAATCCCAATAGACTATAACTTCTAAGACAGTACAGACCAGGCCCTATTCTTCCTCATATTCATTTATGCTACTCAGCGTATAGTGTATGTGTTCCAGTAAATTTAATACAACAATATAAAACACATGCTTAAGCACTATCACATATATTGAGATTAATAAGATTGAGAACTACTTCTGAGGCACTTAAAATCATTTTGCAGAATGGGAGAAAGGCAAGGCATAAGTATTGAATGAAGCAAATTACTTTAATACAGGATAGAGTAAGAGTGGGGATGGAGGCAGAAGCTCGTATTTAATGAGTGCTTGTTATGTGCAAAGCACACTGAGCTAAGACCTTGGCACGCATTATCTCCAGAAATCCTCAAAATCACACTACAGAGAATTTTATACATTGTAATATGGAGGAAACTGAGACTGAACAAAGATTATTATCTTGACCATGTTTTCATTCCAGATGGCATGTGCTGAACAAGTGCCACTTCTGGGAGGAAAATATACATAAGACTGAGTAAAATGTTACTTAGGTTCTCAGACAACAAGGTAGGTGGCTGGTGGGTGGATTCTACTTAGAGCCAAGGAGGCAATGCAGTGTAGACAAAGTGGTGTACAGTGAGATCATGTTAAAGGAGTCAAATGGAGCCCAAGATAGAAGGAGGATTGTGGATTCGGAATCAACTGGTGCAATACATGAGAAAATGTCAGCACGAGCAATTCAGACCTAAGACTGCGGATGGGTTGTGAGTGATGACCTGATGTTCTGACTGTGAAATTCAGGGATAGTATTGGAGGCTTAAAATCATCTTGAAGGTCTGGACACACAGTCCCATGGTTAGTAAGGGGGAGGCAAGTAGGATTGGCCACAGTCCACCTCCAAAGTCCTCATTCTTTTCCTCTTACCCAGGTGCCTGAAGTGTCAAAGAGAATTTTAAAGTGCTATGGGAGCTCAAAGGAAAGTGAGATATACCTAGAGATTTAGGAGGCAGCTTTGGAAAAGAATGTCAAGGGATGCTTCAGATTTTAACAGAAAGAAATACATAGAATAAGGAACATTTGTGGCTGAAAAAAAAATGGTAAGAACTTAAGTGTAAGAAATGCATGTTTTGAGTGATCGATGAAAAACGGGTGTGAGAGTTAGTTTCAGAAAACATTCTGGGGAAGAAAAATGGGGCTTGTCTTCTAAAAGCCTATGATCCAATGGGTGACTCCTGTCCAAAACCACATCTATGGTTCTCAGTCATGAGTTTTGATCTGAAAAATTATACTTTTAAAAACTCTTCAGTTTTGGTTTACTTTTTCTTTTCACATCATAAAGGATTGTTTAACTAGATCATGGTGTGGCATACAAGTAAATATCCTCAGTTTTGAAGCCACTGTTGAGAGTTCTTCCTTATTTGCAAGTCTATCATATTAGAGATAGAAGAGTGGAAAAAATATGAATTAAAAATTTGATTTGAGTTGGGATTTGGGATAAAATCACTTGGGCTGAAATCCAGACTAAATATGTAGGCACAGGAAAGCTATTTACATTGTATTTCCTTTATATCTTTGCAAGATAGTCATGAAAATCGTGAGAAGGCAAACTCAATTGTTTAGCAGACTATTATAGAATAAGGGCCTAATAATCATAAACTATTATTCATAAATTATCATATAGAAAAATTAAGTGCTGTATCTGATTTGCATTAGAGAAAGTTATTCTTCAAGAACTAAAAAAGTAGAACTATACTAAAAGACTTTATAACTCTGGTATTAAAATAGAGGTGGTATCGTATGCTACAGATGAGAAAGTAAGACCCAAAAATATATCCATGATTTAACCAGATCCGTCAGTTTGCTATGATTTAACCAGATCAGTCAATTAGTTTCACCATTATGTAACATATCATCATCTTTCCAGCCTCCAACATTTATTGAGTTTTCTTGCCACTTGCTAGCTGGCTGCAAAGCCAATCCCAAGTTTTTATTTATAAATTTATTATTTACAGCAATATTTCACTTCCAGGCACCAATGTCTATATCAATTACCTTTAATGGTGAGGTAACAAGTACTTCCAAGTTATCAGTAGCTTAAAACCACAATGGTTGATTTCCTCTTGCATGACACATGCTGCAGCTCTGCTATGGCTCTTTTCCATGTGTCTGTTTATTCCAGGACCCGTGCTGACCAAGCAGCCCTTTGTGGTATATGATGGCCTTGTGACAGAGGGAAAAACTCTGGCCAAACACACGAGGGCTTTCAAAACTTCTGCAAAGAAATGGTAACATGTTAGTTCAGCTCCTATTTCCTTGGCCACAGCAAGTGTCATGGCCCACCTTAATAGTGATGGCCTGGAGAAGTATAAGCTTCTCACCTGGTTAGTAAATGACAGAGTCATAATACTAATGATAGGGGCAGGGAGCAGAGAAATTCTAGACAGAAAACGGTGAGCATCCAGCAAAATCCCACTCTCAAGCTGAAAAGCCTGAAACCATGGCCCAAAGTGAGAACGTATGTCCCTGTTTTTCCACTCGAATGTTGCCTTTTCCTAAACCACCATGGCCTGCCCCACTCCATCCTGTGTCTATAAAAAACCCAGACTCAGCCAGTAGATGGGACTATGGCTGGACATCAGAGAGAAGTGGCTTGACTTCAGAGGGACAGCTTGATGGTATAACTTCAGAGAAGAAACCAGCCAGAGATGGCCAGACTTCAGGGGAAGATTACCTACCTGCCTCATCCCCTTTTAAGCTCCCCTTCCCACTGACAGCCACTTTCTTTGGTGATAAAAGCCCCCACATTTACCATCCTTCAATTCCTTCTTGCAACCCCATTTTTCCTGGATGCTGGACAAGAGCTCAGGAGACATGACTGCAGATGAAACGGCTGTCATGCTTTCCCTTTGCCCTTGCAGAGGGTAGCCACCTCCTGCAGAAAGGCAAAGGGCCCACTGAGCTGTTAACACTTAAGATGTCTGCAGACAGCAGAGCTAAAAGAGCACCACAACATGCCTTCAGGAGTCGCAGGCACCCCGCCTGGATGCTGCTGGAGGGCTTGCATGGAGTTCATTCCTGCTGGCGCCCAAAAGTGGCCAGCCAGTTCCAGTGCTTTTTCACTCCAGTTCCTGCACTTGTTTGCTCAGGCACTCGCTCCTGTGAGGATTAGAGAATGGCAGGCTGACTAAGCAAGGCGCACCCCTGTCGTGGGTCCCATGAAAGGGTCAGGAAAATAATCTGCTTCACTAATGTTACCAACAAGACCTTCGAGTGGGTACTTAACGCTTGGCAGAATGCTAAGATGCTTCCCTGGACTCTTTATCCCCTATTGATAGCCCTAAGGATTATAAGTACAATGGATTTTACTCCCATGATCAGGTTATATTTTATGGCACAGTTGATTTTAAGAGAGGAAGGTTATCTGAGTGGGATTGACCTAATCACATAAACCCCTTTAAATCTGGGTCTAATAGAAAGAGAAAGCTAAAAACTGGAAGCACAAGGGAGATTTGATGGGAGAAGTCCTCAGTTCCCGGCTTGGAGGTAGACAGGGCCACATGGTGAGAAATTCAGCTGCTCTCCAGGTGCTGTGAGAGACCACTGGATCACAGTCAAAATGGGGATCTTGGTTCTACAACCACAGGAAATTAAACCTCATTTCTACAACCACATGTAACTGAATTTGGCCAAGAGCACTGTGAGGCAGATTCTTCCTTAGAACCAGCAAAAAGAAATGCAGTCTTGCTGACACCTCAGTTTCAGCCTTGTGTTCCCCCAACCATAGAACCCAGTCACTCTGGGCCCAGACTTCTGACGTCCAGAACTGTGAGCTAATCACTGGGTATAGTTAAGCTACTCCCCATGTGGTAATCTGATTTACAGCAGTAGAAAACTAAATCCATATTACTCTCCTACTTACTAGCTCTGTGTCTTCAAGCCAATGTTTTGGCTTCTCTAAGCCTTAGTTTTCTCATATTTTACAAATAAAATATCTACTCCATAGATTTCATATTGTGATAATCAAATAAGGTAAAATATGCAAAATTGATTGTAAACAAAGTGCTACAAACAGGTAACGATTGACATTGCAACATATAACATAGTAGTTTGGTCATTTACATGTACAAAGCAATAAATACAGGAATCCTTTATTTTCCTATAAAGTCTCACCAAATTCAGGAAACAGTCATGGAGAAAGGGAGACAAAATAAGCATTAGAGCTAAGCAACAAGGGTTTGGTTTCAACTCTGCCATTGGAAAAGTTACAGGAATTTGAGTAATGTACTTAATTTCACTAAGCCTGTTTCTTTAAGTGTAAAACATTTAATATCTACAAAAGATTTGTTATTGAAGATTAGAGATAATACATATACATCGTTCCCAGTGTAGGCACATATAAGCCCCAAATATTCATAACATTTATAATAATAAATAACACTGGCTATATAATATTAAAAATATGTACAGCATATTCTATGTCCATTTGCTTTCTGGCCTGTCCTGGACGAGGTCAAATTATCCATTGAGGTAGAAGTTCAAAATGAAGTCTAGCAGACTGTCATCCTGGGCATATTGGCTTCAGGCTTAATCTGGATGGAAATATTCTCCACTCATCACATCTTCAGCTTTCAATTATGGGTTTTACATTAAAGTTCAGTGAGCATCATAGATAAGCTCTCTTGATTGACATCATTAAAAAATTCTTTAGTTCAGTGGCATCTTGCCTGCAGATTTATTAGACTGCTTTTTTTGGTACACTGCCTGTTTGAGGGAGAAAATATTCCGCTACTACATAAGGGCAGGATAAAGATTAAGCACAATTGCCAATTGCACATACGGAGTCTGATGTGTTCCTATTACCAAAAGGAATCTGTAGAGTCTGATATCCAGGAATAGGAAGAAACTTCAGAATATCCTGAAACCCAGCCTCATGCGCTGAGTCAGGTCAGGTGGTGGTACCTGTTTCACACGTGGAAGCACCAGAAATGTGGGTGCTTTGTTTAGTATCTTGTAACTAGCTTGCTGTCTGATCTCAAGGTCCTGCATTCTTCCTATTGTGCCACAAGATTCATAATGCTGTTCTCTAGAGGCGGTCTCGCCTACTCACAGTCTCTTGATGGATAATAAGAAACTTTATTCTCTTGATGCGTGTTTACAAAGTAGATAATTTACCAGTGAATCAAATATTTATTGAACACCTACAGGGGGTAGAGGATGTTGCCAGGCAGTAAAAAGAAACTGAGATATCCAAGATACAATTCTTGTCATGATGGAAATGATAATTTGGCTGAGCCACAAAAATACTTTAATGAAATTATAAGTAACATTATCACAAAATATATCAATGTCTCAGTGAGTCCCTCAGATCACTGGAATCAAAATCAACTGGTGATTGCTACAAACACTATATTTTGAGAATTACTTTAATATGTGCTAAGAGTCGATTATATGATAGCAAAAAAAAGAATGCTCTATAGAACCGAAACACAAGACCTTAATAGGACAAATTACTCCATAAGAGACAAATGAGTGGATGAATATATGCAGCAGGGATTGAACAAATATCAAAACAAACAGAGGTGATCAGGGAAGGTAGTGATGAAACTATAAACAATTGACTAGATTCATGAATAGCAGGGAAAGTAATGTAGAAATTCTATGACATTAATAATGTTATTACAGATGGGCATTTTTAGTCTTTTTATAGCCAAAATTATGGTCAAACTGGAGAGCCTGAAAGGATGGAACATTTTTTTAAGGATTCATAGTCAGAATCTTTTTTCTGAGGACATGTTAAAAAAAATAGCGAAGGCTAAATGATAATATGCAGTCACATTTGAATATATTTTTCCATCCATGTGAAAAGAAACATGATGTGTTACATGGTATTCTAGGTTAACAATGTGGTTATTTCCTTGGAAGGAAAGGCAAAGACATGTAATTGTCAGCAAGACAATTTTTTTGTCCCTAATATATTAGGAACCCATTTTTAAAAGTAGATACATCTAGAAGAATCTTTCCTTCGAATCTCAAATTTTTTTTAATTTTATTTTTTTTCAGTAAATGCTTTTAACAAAAGCAATAGCAGCTCAACCCTCCCTTGAAAAACCCATTGAAATTAAGAACATGTGAACATGTTTGGTTTTTTTGTTGTGTATGTTTACATTTTGTATTTTGTCAGAAGAGAATGCTACAGTTTGAAGACTGTATTAGAACTTCTCATACACGACAGTATTGAAAAAGAATGCATTATTTGTGAGCATGTGGTATCTGAGTTTGATTTTTATTTTTATAAGTGCATTATATCTTGATTGTAAAATAATGCATACATGTAACAAAAATTCAGGTAAAAATCTTGATTTCACCATAATCCAGTGACCCAGAGGTAAATATTGTTAATCATTATTTCATATATCAACATCTTTCTCTCTCTCTCTATATATATACATATACACACGTATATTTATTATGTAAATAAGAAATATGTGTGTATATATATTTCTGTATATGTGTATATTATACAAATAAGAAATATATATGCTTATATAAATAATAGGAAATATATAAAATATGTAACACATTATATATAATATATATTAATATAAGAGGAATAAAGATAATATATTTTTTACTTAATGTATTCATTAAGTAAAAGTGGAATATTCAACCACTTGCTTTTTTTCTGCAAATTTGCTAATATATATTGGATATTCTTCTAGAAATACTTTTGTCCTTCAGCAAGAACAGAGACTTGGAAACGGGTATGAAGTGAGAAGCCTCATTACTCTGTTATGAATTACACGTAAATCAGATTGGCTGGAAAACAAATGGCCGGTTTGCTTTCAACTGCTGTTGAGCATTCCAATGATAGTTGGCTTCTTTGTATGGAATTCAGTACTGCTTCTGTGAAAACTGTGTGCAACCCCAAATAGTCAATTCTAAATCTTGTTAATAGTGTTATTAAGTTGCATTATTGTAAGCTTCATTTCAATTATTAAGAACTATCAATAGGCTTATTAAAATACTCATTCTGTTAAAATGATCCAGTACTGTTAACTGTAAGAGAAGACCAGCCAACACCTTATTCTAAAATTTCCTAGTGAGAAAATTGTTTAGAATCTTATATTATCATTATCTTACTGCTCTGAAAGAAATTTTCCACATGAAACCCATTCTCCTCACGTGTAGATATGATCTGGCACAGTGGTATGGTGTAGTCATTAAAGGTAGGCTTATTTTTCAATATTGCTGAAACTAAAAGCATTTTGTATGTTCACTGCATTATTGAAAATGTTAGATAAAGAAGAACTAACATTAGTAAGTTTATTTATGGTTTACAATGTGTTTTCGTATTATTTTCTCTTTTAATAAAGATAATTTGGAAAAATATGAGCTGGATGTCAGCATTCCTCCTGGGAATTTCAAGAAATATTTTTATTCATTTGCTAAACTTTTATTGAGCGCTTATAGGATCTGAAACCCCATGATACAAGGTTTAGTCCAGTGGTTCTTAACCTTGGCTATATATTGTAATCACCTGGAGAGGTTTAAAAAACAAAACAAAACAAAACAAAACTGGATGCCAAGGCCACAGCACAAACCAATTACAGTAAAATATTGGGGGTCAGAATCTCAGCATTGATAGTATATTCAAATTTTCCAGGCAATTCTATCATGTAGTCAAGGTCAAGAATTAGTAATTTTCAACATAAAAGCATAATATAAAGATAAAGACAATTTAATCAGCAGTTAAATGTTATATTCAAATATAAATTTAGATTGGAGTAATTAGAAATACAGAGTTAAATGCATTTTTATTACACTTATAGTGTAGAATCATATTTTACTTGCTAAAATCTATAAAGTTATTTTTGCATTGCTCTTCATATCTAGAAAAATAATGAATAGGTAGGTAGGTAGGTAGGTAGATAACACTAATACAGGCATGATACCTTGAGATCTGCCTACTACTGTGTGTATCAAAACAAAGGAAAGTAAATATCAAAAAAAAAATCCATGAAAGATATAAATCTTTACTATATGATTCCTTTAAAAGTCAGCTCAGAGGCCAGTATTGCATATCACAAAGAACGATACTTATTCTCTTTGCCTAAATCTGTCCACTCCTACAACTGCTAATGAGCTCTTTCTTTTCCTGAAGAATGGTTTCGCCATGTCTCTATCCCCAACTGCACCTTTCTCTAAGCAATGCTCCACCCCTGTATCAACATCATGAGGTCACTGTCATCACATGGCTCCAAAAATCTAATTATTTTTTTGCCCTTACTAATTTTGGTTAGGATAAAAATGGATCCCTTTGGGAGTTGGGTGAATTAAACACTTCACGATGCGTGTAATTGACTGACGGTAAGACAGAAGACAGTTTGATAATGATAGCTGAGAAGATCTATAGAAAGGAATGAGAAGGAAGGGAGGAAGAAAAGGATTAAAAAAAATGGAGGGAGGGGAGGTTAGATAAACTAAACCTAAGTCCCTCTCTGCTCAAAACCAGCAATTGCTTTTCTTCAAATGACAGTAAATCCCAGCCTGTATCACTGCCCACAAAACTGCACAAATGTGGCTCTGCCCACACCTCCTTGCTCTGCTTTTCCTTGCTACTTCTACGCTGGCCACCCTGGCCTCATTTCTTGAACATGCTAAACTCATTGCCTCAAGGGCTTTGCATTTAGTATTCCTTTTGTCTAGACCGGCGCTTGCATACATTTCGCAATATCTGCAGAAATTTTTGATTGTCACAACTAGAAACATGTTACTAGCATCTAGTAGGTAGAGGCTGAGAAGGCTGGTTAATATCCTACAAGGCCTAGGTCAGCCCCACCCAACAAGGATTCATCTGTCTTCAAATGTTAGGAGTACAGAGGGTGAGAAATTCTAGTCTAAACCTCTTTTCCCAGATCCCTTCTGCTTCTCCTTTTTTTTTGGGGGGGTGGGGGGCTCTCCTTAAATGTCAGTTGCATAAGGAGGTATTTCCAGATTGCCTTATCTAAAATAATAGTCCCTATCACACTGTCTCTATCCTGTCATGCTGCTTTCTGTTTATTCTATGGCATTTATAAATGTAATGTTATTGATGTTAAAATGGACAAATACATAAGACAAATGAAAAACTGTTCCTACTAAATGTCCAGCAAGTTCCAAGATGAATCATACTTGCAGTAATATTAAATGAGAGGAAAAAATTACCATGTATTTCAAGACTGAAGAAACGCGAAATTATCCAGATTTTGCAAAGAAAACTGAGGCTTCAAGAGGTTAAGGAACGTACCCAAGATAACATAGCTCTTAAGTGGCAGACGTAGAGAGCTGATGGTTAGATTTCCTCTTTGAAGTCTTTTTGGTGGGTTAGGTTGGGGCTGGGAAAAGGAAGATAAAGAAGCTTGAAGGGTAGAAAGAAAAGAAAAATAAAGGGAAGGAAATAGAGAAAGCATACATTCCAAATAAAACAATATCATAGAACAAACAATTTCCCATACTCTAGGGCATAGCGTTTAGCTCATCTTTAAGAAGCACAAACTACTAGTATTGTTCAAGATGTAAAATAGCAAGGTCATTTGACACAACTACACTAAAGCAATCATAATACTTAAACCGTGAAACACCGTGCTGTAAAACACAGCCAACATTCTACCACGCAGCTAAGTATCCCCCCTGGACTAATTATTTTTAAAAGTTAGACAGAAAACCGTTATAGTTTTAGGCACTCTTGTCGACCTAGAAGTGAATAAAGCACGTTTCTGCCAACCAGAGGATGTGGTTTAAGGTGCCTGGCATTCTTTTGCTTTTTGTTTTTACTCATTTGATAATGTTTTCATTACGTACCAAGCAGAAGAGCTCACTGTAACAGTACGCGGCGGCGTTAAGATGGAATAGGTGTACCGTAATGGATGGTATTGCAAATACCGAGCTATAAACGATACACTCTTATTAAAGTCACAAAAGAAGGGGACAGACTTAAACATTCCTAGATTGTAGCTGAAAAGTAAAATATAAGTTTTGGAAGTAGAAATGGAATCTTTTATTTATACAACTGTAGATACACTGAACAATATAACTGGCAGGGATTCTGAAAGAAATCGCATTACTGGGCGCAGTGGCTCACGCCTGTAATCCCAACACTTTGGGAGGCCTAGGTGGGCGGATTGCCTGAGGTCAGGAGTTCGAGACCAGTCTGGCCAACATGGTGAATCCCCGTCTCTACTAAAATACAAAAAAATTAGCCGGGCATGGCGGTGTGTACCTATAATCCCAGCTACTCGGGAGGCTGAGGCAGGAGAATTGCTTGAACCAGGGAGGCGGAGGTTGCAGTGAGCTGAGATCACACCACTACATTCCAGCTTGGGCAACAGAGCGAGACTCTGTCTCAAAAATAATAATAATAAATTTTAAAAAAATAAATCTCATTAAGTGTTAAAAGATCACTAGATAATTTTGGGGTCTGTCTACACTAATTAACCTAACCCTACTTAAAACTAATTAAAATAGTTTTAAAGGAACAAACATCGAGTAGTCAGAACAGATGAATCCCTAGGGGGTTGCAGACACAGTACAGAGGGTCTTTAGGCGTACTCAGGTTTGGGAAGATCCTAGCTGGTTTTGAATTCAGGCTCTACCAGTTACTCACTGTGACCTTGGCTAGTTCCTCAACTTTTCTGTGCTTCTGGTTTCTTAACAGTAAGGTGGCATTACTAGAAATGTCAACTACACAAGATTCTGGTGAGGATTCAACACATTCAAGGCACATGAGAGTCATGCTGGCACTTGATAAGCATTCACTAAATGGAAGTATGATTGCTATTGATGGCTTCCACCCACTACTTTGGGAGCACCTGAAGTGACACAGTACAGGCTATAGACTTTTGGTGATCTTTGCCTGTAGATTTTCTTTTATTTTCTTCCCTTAAAAAAATCATCTAAATATGAGTACTGGCCATACATAAACCATATAAACCGATATACTTTGCAAAATTAACCCCAAATGCAAATTCCTTCATTTGTCCACCATAGAGTATCCCCCCTTCTTTAGACTTGTTTATATACTTGGGTTGAGAGCAGGATTCTTTTTTTTTTCCTTTTTTTTTTTTTTTTTAATAAATTGTTATGTTTTTTCCTCCATATACACTCAGTCCTCCCCCTCCTCTGCCTACATACAAAAGAAAGACCTCAAAAATACACAATAGCTTTTTCTTTTCCTCTGTCAGACGTAAGTTTTGAAGACTTCACAATTTATTGGTGGTCAGGTGGGAAAAAACAGTTTTCTAAAATGCAAACGCTTCTAAAACTACCAGTGTCTCCTCTGGCAGCACCAGCTTCAAATGATCTGCCCACTGAGAGCATCTCAGTTTGATGCATACTATTTCATAAAAGCTGATTCAGGCTTTAGACTCCTACAGGGTCTTCATAAAGTAGGTATAAAATAATAAAAAAAATAAAGCTAAAGCTTAAAGATTGAATCTAAAGGACATTTATTTCTGATCTCACCTCTCTCATTTTAGAAGAGGGATGTTGATTTTTTTCTTCTAAAATATGTTGTGTTTACTTTAGTAAATTTTCTTCAGATAGGATCCAAAGAAGGAATAGCTTGTTCTAGTTTGATATTTATAATTATATATATGCTTAAGCAAATAAAACATTTAGACCTAAACTCTCAGACAAAGGGCTAGGCATTTTATGTGTTTAGATCTGCAGACGGTCCTTACGGCCATCATTTTCTTTCCAATGCTCTTTGAGTCTGGTAGCCATAACAATAGTGCTGTTCTGCAGTAATGAAGCTATGTTTTCTCATAAAATGCAAAAGATATTTGTTTAGATCATATGTCTGTGAAGCAAGTATAGTGCAAACTTTTGAAAATAGTCACAATCAGACATGAAATGTGTTAGGTAGTTAGGCTGATAATTTCTAAATTTAAATGGATTGAGCAAGAATGTTGTATGTTTGTCAGTTCCTAGAAGAGGGGGCATTAGAATTTAGCTACTCACAATCTTATACCAATTATAAAAAGTTTGCTTTGACAAGACATGACCAAGAAGCATAGACTGTCACAGTGGCCTTAGGCTGCTCCCCATGCATAAATATATTTCTTCCACTTGATTAAGATTTCAGAATTAGAATTGCACATTTTTAGATTAAGCAATAATCTCTTCTAATCTCAAATAAGATACTAGCTTATTGCCTCCCTTTTGCATTTACACCTACGTTTTTTAAGGTCATTACTTCTGTTTTTAATTCTACACAGGTTTTTGTATAGCAAAATAGGTCTACCTTGTATAGCCTTCCCTGTTTCAGTCTTATAAGTAAATCTGGACATATTTTCCTGTGGTGTTTATGATTTCTTGTTTTCATATTTAAAATTGGTATGCCTAAGATTATTTTCATGCATTAAGAACCTAGGATTCCAGAGTCATTATATTCCAAATGTTTAGCATTTAAAACAATAACAATTTTTAAAAAATCTAACCATTCTATCAGTTTAAATGATATGCTTATTGTTTGCTAGTTACTCATATATATATTTAGTTCCAATATCTTTATTTCTATTCTGTGAAATTGGTACCCTTCTGTTTTTTGTGTTTATTTTCTTTTCCTCCAGTAACCAACCTGCTGTCTTGGGTTCTATCACAGCCTCTCATAGCATTTTAATTCTTGGCAGGTTTACATTTCTTGCCTGCCATTTACATTTCTTTCTATTTTTTCTTTTATTTTTTAAAAATATTTTTGAATAACCCTAATTCCTAGTTTTTTTTTTTGTTTTACTTGAAATGCATTCCTACAAACTTGCAGTTACGTAAAAGGAATAAGTCCTAGTTTTCTATAACACTGTAGGTTACTATAGTTAGCAATAATTTATTGTACATTTTCAAGTAGGTAGAAGAGAGGATTTTGAATGTTCCCAACATAAAGAAATAAAAAATGAGGTGATGGATGTGCTAGTTACCCTGATTTGATTATTATACATTGTATAGATGTACTGAAATATTATACCATATAGATATGTGCAATTATGTATCAATTTAAAATAATAGTTAAAACACATTCTAATATCATATTGTTACTTCCTACAAATTTTCGGAGGTATTTTAATTAGCATATTCATTGAATATAAAAATTTTTGTGAGGAAATATTAAATCTGTGCAATAATAAACCTTTCTATCAAAAAGTAAGGTGTGTTTTCTGTTTATTTGTCTTGTCCTTTGATAGAATTTCAACATGTGAGCAATATATTTTCATATACTTTTTAAAAAATGTAATTACATATGATAATTTTGTAGAACTTACTTAAAAATCTACAGAAATTTGTGAAAATATTCTTTGATTCTGCTATTGCACAGCTATTAATTTACCTCATAGAAACATTTCCCAATGTACACAAAGTTATTTGTACAATTACTTTGACTGAAGCACTGTTCATAATATTAAAAATTGAAAGCAATTTAAACGTATATCAGTGAGAGGCTGTCTGACACATTAGGGTTCATAATTGTATACAGTAAAATGCTTGCATCTATGAAAAAGATTCAGGTAGATTTTCACGTACTGATATGAAAGGCTTTCCAAACTACATTACTAAATGAAAAAATATAAAATACAGAACAATGTATTTAGTAGGTTAACATCTGTATAATTTTTGTATGGACTTTACAAGGAAAATTACACTGCACTATGCATAATAATTTTTCTAGAAAGACATACAAAAGTTATTTTACTATAAGAATATGTAATAATGACTTATTTCATAGGCATTCAGAAGATTTTAGACATCGTTCTAAGTGCTTTCCACATAATAATTCACCTAATCCTCATTACAGTTCTCTGTGATGGCTCCTAGGCTGATCAGCGGTTTATAGATGAGGAAACTGGGGCTCTGTGATGGTAAATAATGTGTTCTAGAAAATGTATTGGTGATAAGCAAAACAGATAAGATTCAAATCCAGGAAGATCAGCTTCAGAATCAATATTCTGAACAAATGCATGTGCTTCCCTTTAGAAGTGCCCATCTTTGGGGGTAAGACCTAAGATGTTGGGTAAGAATCATTTCATTTTGCCTTTTGTAGCTTTTTGTTTTAATATCTACTTTCTGATTGTAATACTTTTTTTATCAAAAATTAAGTTTTATCCAAGTGATCTTTTAATTTTTCTTTATTGTTTTCTTGTTCATACAAAACCTAGCAAATGCCATATGAACAGATTTAAGAGTAAAAGAATAATGCGGATGTCCACACAGGGAGAGTATCTTAGAGAAAATATACCTTCCCCACATGAGGGGACTGCTGGCAGTAAACGTCATAAGCGGAGGGACATTGTACCAAAGGGTAGTTGGAAATGTAATGGAAGTCTTTTGCTCATGACTCTCTGACCTGAATATATTTTAATCTGCTTTTGAATCGCTAAGTTATAGCAACACATTGCAAAGCACTAAGATATGTAAAATATTTGAATTTTTAAACAGAAATATTTGACTATTCAACAGGATTACTTTCCATAGCGTGATTCATAACATTGTCAGTACTTTTGTCATTGCCTTCATATAGCAGAAGTGATGTAACATTATAGAATAATGTGTGATGTGTGATAGAAATATGAAATGATGGAGTGGTTGGGTCTTTGCATTAGAATAAACTTTATGAGTTACATAGTGTTTAATAGTTTCTGGCTGGTATGAAACCATGCTTTAATTGGGATTGAGCCAAACCAAAGTAGTACCAATGGCGTGGATTCATTTCCAAAGAACCAGTGCTTTTTTTCTGCAAACTATTTATGGATCATTTAGTTTCCCAAAGAAAATGTGGGGTATATCTCCTATGTAGTCCTTCTGGAGGCTGGTGTGTGTGTGTGTGTGTGTGTGTGTGTGTGTGTGTGTGTGTGTGTACAGCTGTGTGTATAACTGTGGTAATGTACATAACGTATTTGAAATGATAAGAAAGCTGTTATTGCAAATTGTAGCCTAAGATTGCAAAGCTGAGGAAGACAGGTGGCAGGATCCCACCACCTAGCTCTAAATATAGATTCCAGATAACATAGAACTTTCTGAGAGGTGAATGGGGTTATAGTGAATGTGGGGAAGGGATGGAAGGGTAGTAATTCCTAGAGAAATGTGGGAACATAGGAAAATAAAAGGACAGCCCTATGACAAGCTCACTTTCTTTCTGTGAGTTCTCAAGACTCTGGTCAGATCCAAGTTAAAGGAATGTAAAATTGAATTTTGGATTGGATATTTTACTGTCTACACATGAGAATGTCCTAGAACTGAAAATGAGTGTAAGCTATCCATTGCTGAAAATCAAAGAAAAGGGAAGTACAATGCTTAATTTTATGTGCCAGCGTTGCCAAGTTGTCATCCCAAGATAGGTCACCAAACTTTATTCTGAATGTTTTTGTGAGGGTGTTTTTGGATGAAATTAGCTTAAGTGTGGACTTTGAGTGATACAGATTGCCCTCCATAATGTGGGTGGGCCCTCATCCGATTAGTCAAAGGCCTGAATACAACAAAAAGACTGACCTTCCCCTAGCAAGAGTGAATTCTGCAGTAGTTGGCATTTGAACTTGAGCGGCAACATTGGCTTTCTCCTAGGTCTCCATTCTGTTGACCTTTAGACGCGTAATTGCTCTTCTCTGGGTCTCCAGTTCGCTGACCCACCCTGCAAAATTTTGACTTGCTACCTTCTAAAATCACATGAGTCAATTCATTAAAATGAATCTCTGCATATATTTGCACATTCTATCAGTTCTGTTTCTCTGTAGAACCCTGATTAATGCAGGGGACAAGGCTGCATATTTGAACACAGTGGTGGGAGAAAAACTAAAGCTGTTTTTTGCTTGCACCCTAAGAAGTTTGTCCCATTTAATAAATTGGCTGCACACACTAGACAGCCTGTCCTCTTACAGTGAAGATCAGAGGACGACACAGAAAACTGAAGCAAATAGAGTGAATTGGATCTCTTGTATTTCTCTTTTGCTTTGGCTCATTCCTTTTTCCTCTCATTTTCACCTCTCAGAAAGTCTTAGAGTTGGTTCTATCCTTTGTGTGAAAGGGCTGAATTGGGCTCATCCCATTACAGAATCTATGGCATATTAC
Source organism: Homo sapiens (assembly GCF_000001405.40). Classification (NCBI taxonomy): domain Eukaryota; kingdom Metazoa; phylum Chordata; class Mammalia; order Primates; family Hominidae; genus Homo; species Homo sapiens. Next base: position 165,870,834 of record NC_000005.10, read on the forward strand.
TATCCAGAAATTCTTTTATGTCAAATAGAAGCAGCTAAACTGGTATGAAATTGTTGACAGACCAATAGCATCTCACAAGTAAGTGAAGCTTCTCCTCTTGAAACTGAATCTTGCAATTAATAGAGCATTTAAAATGACATGATTATTGCATCAACTTTCATTAGAGTTGTAATCTTCCGCACTGCACATTCCATCACCCATTTGTATTCATTTACAATGTCATCCAGACCCTATGAAAATAAATCACCTTGGATTCAAAATACCAAGGTCTTATATCAATGCACCTTATATTTTAATGCCTCTTGTCTAATGACATGAATACCTCAGACATGCAAATTTATAATAGTGTATATACATTTGATGATGGTCTAAAAATAGCTTCATTCTCTTCTCTTTTTTAAATCTTTGTTGCTTAAAGTAGAACAAAAAGGAATAATTAGATATAATTGAAAGAAAGAGATTTGGTAGTTTATTTATTCTTTGAGGCAATGGTCATTTTTCCTATAACCTACAGGGTAAATTCAAAATCTCTTCCATGATCTGACTAGAACCTGCTGTTTTTTTTTTTCTACTAAATATCTATTCTCTCCGTGAGTGCACTGTGGCAGAGAATGCTGTGCTCAATATCAGGTTTCACCTCTTGTCCCCAGCACACTGCATCTACCAGCCTCTTGCTGTTGAGGGAAATAACACTCTGTGTTTAGGCCAATTGGAGGCAGGTGAAAGTGGTGTAAACCAGTTCTAGACATGACCTTTCTCAATTCTCACATGATCATTCATGAACTATTATGCCTTTGCTTATAATATTAGATGTAGAGAATCTCATGAAAGATTCTAACGCCCTTGAACAGGGGCAGGTGGAGTAACCACATGGAATAAACCTTGGTCTCTGAAGGACTGCATGGGATAGAAGTCACACAGGGACCCATCTTAGACTGTGATATGAAAAAGAAATAAGCGTTATGGTGGTAAATTGTTCAGAGTTTGGGTTTCCTACAGCAACTAGCATTACTGCTAGTAATATGAATAATCTAAATTTTAGCTATAGTAAATTATTTTTATACTCTGTCCATGCAATTCCTAATTCCACAATGCCTTTCCCTGCAATGCCCATCTCTGCCAACTGCATTTCTTTTCTTTCCTTAAGACCCAATTAAAATTCTTCTATCTCCTTTATACTCATAATAAGAATGTGTTATTCCCACAGAATATATTCGTTGTCTTATATCACTCTTTATGTCCTAGTACATTTAGTTTTATACAGTACCTAATATATTTCTATATTTCTCATCAGTATAATATCTGGCACATATAGATGTGTAAAGTAAAATAGATATGTCACATGACTCCCGTGGCTCATAGCCAGCCATAAACATTATTTTATAACCTGTAACTATGCTAAATAACCCTACTTGTATATGTAGCTATAAAATGTCTTTATTTTAGTGCATTTTAAACCAAAATAGTTAATGGGAATAGTTGATCATTTTGAAAATGGAAGGTTATAGTTGTTTAGGAGAAAAACACTAAAGGAACATGTATTACATACTTAGCTGTTGTGACATACTTTTCAGGTGAATCTTCAGTGAGAGGTTAAGAAGTCCTCACATTTCAGAAATCATTAACATTTGAAGTTACAGAATCCTGAGGTCAGCAGTAAGTAGACTAAATGGTACCCATGAGGAAGTCAGCACATGTCCCCAAAAGTAAATTTCTTATCCCCTTATCACGAGAAGCAGCCTATTAAGTAGTTATGGTAGTAAATTTTAAATTCCCCTGAAGAAAAGATTGACAAAATTGAATTATGAAGAAGAGCTAAGAAGATTAAATTACCAGAAGAAGAGCAAAGTCTTGGGAGTAACTTCTCAGCAGTCTTCAGACCCAGAAAGTTTTATTAAGTAGGGAGTAGGAAGGGTACAATAAGACAACATTGCTGAATTTGCAAATGTTTGGGCTATCTATATGTAAAGTCCAACTGGTGTAAACATTGCACAGGAGGATGAACGGAATTTGTAAAAATTTGGCATTAGGGAGTGTTAGGACCAGCATATCCCCCATCCTAGAACCATATGGCTATCAAGTCTACTTCTCTTATTTCTGAGATGAGCAAACTGAATCGTAGAGAGGTTAGTTAGCGTCAGACCATCACTTCAGATTTCAGAATATGAAAATATTTATAAGTCCTGCATAAACATAAACTGTTATTACTGCAATTCCTCTCACTTAAAAAACAAACAAAACAAACAAACAAAACATTTAGCATACGATGATGACTTTTAGTATGTCTCTCCATGGTTAAAGGACTCTTGCTCAGGATCTTAAAATAAATAAGGTAGACCCAAAGAAGAAAGGCAACCCTTATACCCAGGGCCTCATGTCACTCATACATTGTATGTCATTCTGGTCATACTGATAAAACTAGAGTATATAGTAAAATTATCAAAATGTTGCTATCTTCATGTAACTCACAATTAGATTACTCATTTAGAATAATTAATGTGATAACTTTTCCTAATTGGAAATTTGGTAGTTCTTGTGAAACATCATTAATGCCATAGAAAAACTAAAATAATTAGATTTCAAGTATCATACACATTTTTCTCTAATGCAATAAGGGGAAGAGGGCAATTGTGATCTGGTTGATCTGGTAGTATTCAGTTTACCAATTATTTTATATTTAATCTCTACAGAAAAGCCTTTATTTTATGAGTACCAGTGATATATGAATAGACTGAGGCACACCAAGCTGAAGTCTCATGAAGCCATGTAGCTTCAATCTCCTCATCCAAGAATGAATGATTCCAATTCATTACATTTATTCATTCACACAACAAAACTAGGATGTCTAATGGTGATAATTGCTATAAAAAAAAAACAATAAAATAGGGGAGGAGAGAGGATGTCAAGGTATAGAAAGTACAGCTTTTCATAGGGTAGAAAAAGGAAAAGCATCATTTAAAAATGACAGCTGAGCAATCACCCAATCTGCAGAAGAATAGTTTCAGAAAAAGGGACAGCATTGAAAATGCCCTGAATTGAGGAGCAGCAGAGTGGTCTGGGGAGGAATTAGCAGGAAATAAAGACAGAGAGCTAATGTAGAGCCAGATTACATAGAGCTTTTTGAAGTACTGCAAAGATTTTACCCTGAGTTGAGCATTACACACTCTATGCATGGAACAAAATATCACAGGTGCCCCCATAAATGTGTGCAAATATTATGTACTAATAATGATTTTAGTTTTTCTTAAATTGAGTGGAGAAGATATTAGAGGGCTTTGGTAAAGCGAACCGGATGGAACGACGTATATATTAAGAGAATAACTCCGGCTGCTGAATTGAGCATAGACTATAGGAAAGTGGACACAGAAGGGGAAATGGAGAAGCTGAAAGGCCAGTGGAAAGGCTGCTAAAAAATCTAAAAGAGGCCAGGCTCAGTGGCTCATACCTGTAATCCCAGTACTTTGGGATGCCAGTGTGGGCAGATCACCTGAGGTCGGGAGTTTGAGACCAGCCTGACCAACATGGAGAAACCCCATCTCTACTAAAAATGCAAAATTAGCCGGGCGTGGTGGCGCATGCCTGAAATTCCAACTACTCCGGAGTCTGAGGCAGGAGAATCACTTGAACCTGGGAGGCAACAGTTGCAGTGAGCCAAGATCGTGCCATTGCAGTCCAGCCTGGGCAACAGGAGCAAAACTCCGTCTCAAAAAAAAAAAAAAATCTAAATGAAAGATGATGTTGGATTGGAACAGAGTGGTAACAGGGACATGCTGAGAAGGCATAGATTTTGAAAATAAAAAAGCAATGGGCTTTGCTAAGGAATGAATGTGAGGTGTGGGAAAGAGGAAACAAGAATGATTCCAAGGCCGTTTGGCCTAAACAGCTAGAAACTCAAGAGTAGTTGTCCACTGAGATGGGGAACACTGTGGGAGGAACAGGTGTAAGGAGGTAAAACCAAAAAGTTGAGTTTGGGATATGATACATTTGAAATGCCAATTAGATTTCACAGAAATATATCAAGTGGACAGTTAGGCATGTGATTCTGAAATGCAGGGGAGAGGTTCAGGGTGGACTAATAAATGTGGAAGATTTTATAGCATAGAATACTTAAATCCATGAAAATGGATGAGTATGCCAAAGGAATGAATGTGTAGTTAGAGATGAGGTTCACGGTCTGAGAACTGAGGGTCATGAAACTTTGGATGCTGCGGAAATGGAAAAGAATGAGCAAATGGTCTGGAAAGGAGAATCCAGTTATGGAAAAAATACAGGAATGAGTAATGTCCTGGAAGACAGTATTGTTGTTGAAATTTCTAATACTATTTTTTTTTACTTACTTTATATCATCTGTACCTATCAATTTTAAGCCCAAACTCCCAAATCATTCTCCTCATGCTTTTGTGAAGAATTACTATGCTTATTAGGACTTGCAAATGTAGTAATTCAAATAACCTGTCAAGTATTTGGTAACTTTCAAATTTAGATCTCAATAGTAATTTCATTAATTAAGTCAATGAACTTCCCATGTACCTAATGAAGTTATCACTGACTTCTTAAACTTTCTTGGGGAGCTATTCCAGACACAGAAATCCGGGCAAAATCTAAACCCCACATACAAATGGAAAATAGACCCTTAAAAGTTTTTAAAAGGGTACATTCTCATCAGGTCTCCCATTTTTAAGAGCCTAATGAGCTTGGGGTAATTGAAATATTCACGTTAATGGTAGGTGTTGAGCAAATTTCAAGAACTGAAAATAAATTACCAGTCTTTGTCTTCACCCCTCTCAGTCGCAATTAGAACGAGGTTGCAAAGTGAAAGGTGGCAAGTAGAGAGATATATTTCTCTTTAACCTCTTCACCCAATCAATCACCTACTTTTACTTAGTTTTCTAGTTCACCCCTCAACCCTTTCTACCTCCTTGGAGCTACCATTCTCACCTAAGCTTCAACAATCACTTCTCTCCTTGCTTGGAAATAACTTCCTAGTTGTTTACTCTGCCTCTGTTTCCTATTGTTCTTCATCATAAATATAGTCATTGAACAGTAACACTCAAATTCACTAGGATATTGTTTTTATTTATAATTTCATTTTTATGTCTCATGTATTATCCCTCTTTTTTCTTACTCAGACATGTTGATAACATTCTAAACCTTTCAAAGTGGAAAATTTTGGTTTCATTAATCAACTGAATTTCCCTTAATTTAAATTTCAATAAATAGTGTTTTCATCTTTGTTAATTTCTGTTATTGACTACTTTGTTTTCTTTTTTGTTATTTTTCAGCCTCTCAAGTCATATGATTTGTTTTTCAAAGTTAAAATTCTTCTAGTGTGTCATTTTCTGGCTTCAGGTTTACTTCTAGATGCTACTTTGGCTGAATCTCATACAGTACTTTTATTGTCTTTTATTTGTAAATTGTTCAAGATTATAGTGATTTTTCCTCATTTTAATTGAGTTAATGGGTATTTTCAAGTTTTCACGTGGATACATTTATTTTTCACTGTTCAAGGTCATTTATTGTTAATTTCTATTTTTATTGCATTGTTTTTAGATAATGCAGCCTTTATGATCTCTGCTCTTTGGGGTTTCTTAAAATAGTCCTTTGTGGTTTCATACACCATCCATTTGTGTGGCTGTTCCAGGTATGCTTAAAACAAGTTAGTTTAATGGTTTTAAAAACAAGTTGGATAAATCTGGCTTAATAACAATAAGCCAATTGTCTATTCAAGTATGAAATATTTATTAGGCACCTACACTCTGCCAAGCACTGTTCAAGACAGTGAGATGATTTCAATGAACAAAATAGACAGTTCCTGTTCTCATTGAGGCTAGTCAGGAATAAAACAATAAAAAAGAAGGCAAACACATTGTATGTCAACACATAATAATAAAGTAAATGGAGAGAACCAGGAAGGGCAGCCAGAGGCTGTTATTTTATAAGATCAGACAGGGCTTCCCTGATTAGATGACATTTGAGGCAGGATGTGAAAGCAGTGGGGAGAGCCATGTGGATGTCTAGGAAATGAGTGCTCCACAGAAGGAAGGACAATTGCAAATGCTCCAAGGAAAGAGCACTCTTCCTATAATCCAGTAATAGCCAGGGGTTGAGGTGGCTGGGAAACTTTGAGTAAGGGAAAGTATGGTCATTTAGCTGTGGTAGGCAGACCACAGGGTGGCTTGAGAGCCATGGCAGCAGCACCAGCTTTGACTCTGAGTGAGAAGGAAAACCTTTGGTGGGCTTTGAAGATAAAAGTGCTATGATCTGACAGAGATTTTTATTAGAAGATTCTTTCCATCTTGCTGGGTTGAGAATAGGCTTGGATGATGGCATGGGTAGGAGGGTGTTTGGGAGGGAAAGAGAGGAAGGGAACAAAGACAATTCAACTAAGAGGACAATTAGGAAGTTAGGGGAGACTTAAAGGTGCCTTAGACAAGAGTGTGGCATTCAAGGTAGTGAAAAATGCTTGAATTTGAGGGTAGAATCAGGATTTGCAAACAGACTGGTTGTGTGGTGAGAGGGAAAGAGAGAATTCTAGGATGATGTCAAAGATTTTGCCCGAATAATGGAAGGACAAAATTTTCCATGATCTGAGCTCAGAAAAATCTGTGGATAAAGCAAGTTTTTATGAGATAAATCAGAAGTTTACTTGTAGGCATCTTAAATTTGAGTAGCCAGTAACACGTATTAGAGCAAAGTCAAATAGCAGTTAGATAAAGGAGTCCGTAGCTCATGGGAGACATCTGGACTCTATAAATATTTGAGATTTTCTGGAGAGTATGAAAAAGCCCCCAAGACTATACAAGATCACCTAAGAAGAGAATGCAGAGAAAGAAGAGCTGAAACTGAAAAGTGAAACTGTTAGGCACTTCTACATTTAATTGCTGGGGTAAGGAAGAGAAACCATTCAAAGAGATTGAGACAGAGTGTCCGATGAAGAAGGGGAAGAGTCAGGGTATTCTGATTTCATGGAAGGCAAGGGTTTTGAGGCAGGGAGGAATCAGCCCTAAGAAATGCAGTCCATCAAATAAGATGAGCCCTGGAAGGCTTGCATTGGATTTAGCAATGTGGAGAACTTGCTATATGGTGACAGTGACAAGAGTTAACCAGTGTTCATGACAGTGGTGAAAGCCTGATGGAGTGAGTTCAATAGAAACAAAGGCATATTCATTATTCTTTCCAAGGAGTTGCTGTTAACTCCTTGAAATGAGGCTGTGTTGACAATTGAAAGGTTTTTTTTTCTTATTAATACTTCAAGTTCTGGGTTACATGTGCAGAATATGCAGTTTTGTTACATAGGTATACAGTGTCATGGTGGTTTGCTGCACCCATCAACCCGTCACCTACATTAAGTATTTCTCCTAATGTTATCCCTCCCCTTTCCCCCCGCCCCCCAACAGGTCCCGGTGTGTGATGTCCCCCTCCCTGTGTCCATGTGTTCTCATTGTTCAACTCCCACTTATGAGTGAGAACATGTGGTGTTTGGTTTTCTGATCTTGTGATTGTTTGCCGAGAATGATGGTTTCCAGTTTCATCCATGTCCCTGCAAAGGACATGAACTCATCCTTTTTTATGGCTGCATAGTATTCCATGGTATATATGTGCCACATTTTCTTAATCCAGTCTATCATTGATGGACATTTGGGTTGGTTCCAAGTCTTTGCTGTTATGAATAGAGCTGCAGTAAACATGCATGTGCATGTGTCTTTATCATAGAATGATGTATAATTCTTTGGGTATATGCCCAGTAATGGGATTGCTGGGTCAAATGGTATTTATAGTTCCAGATCCTTGAGGAATCACCACACTGTGTTTCACAATGGTTGAACTAATTTATACTCCCACCAACAGTGTAAAGGCATTCCTATTTTTCCGCAACCTCTCCTGCATCTGTTGTTTCCTGACTTTTTAATGATCGCCATTCTAACTGACTTGAAATAAAATCCTAGAAGAAAACCTGGGCAATACCATTCAGAACATAGGCATGGGAAAAGACTTCATGTCTAAAACACCAAAAGCAATGGCAACAAAAGCCAAAATAGACAAATGGGATCTCATTAAACTAAAGAGCTTCTGCACAGCAAAAGAAACTATCATCAGAGTGAACAGGCAACCTACAGAATGGAAGAACATTTTTGCAATCTATCCATCTGACAAAGGGCTAATATCCAAAATCTACAAAGAACTTAAACAAATTTACAAGAAAAAACAACCCCATCAACAAATGGGGAAAGGATATGAACAGACACTTCTCAAAAGAAGACATTTATGCAGCCAACAGACATATGAATAAATGCTCATCATCATTGGTCGTTAGAGAAAGGTTTTTGAAAGATAGAATTGTGGGGCAATATCCCTGAGTAAGCTAAAGGAATGGACTTCGTCCTCAAGTGAAGAGAGGTGATTAAAGAAGAGAAAACTATTGTATTTCAGAAGAGGCAAAGTGTATTACCTTGCTATGATTGGAGAAGCATTGCCTATCTTTTGCAAGAAGCAGGTTTGCACCTTTGCAATCATGTTTTTTTTTCCCTTCCCTATACCCCTATCTCACATGTAGAACAGGAAAGGCCAAAGAGATCAAAATTTAATGTCTCCTTTACTTGTTGTGACGCCTACTTTGAGACTATGTGCTTACCAATGAGATACTATTTTTTTTCTCTTTTTTAAGATTTAAAGTCCCTCTGACTCTTAAGTCCCTCTGACTCTGTCAGTTATACTTACTATAATTAACATAACTTTGAGATATTAATCTTTCCATTTTCAGATCTTTTTGCCTCTGTTTTATGGTTTTGATTTTGTTCAAATATTTGAGAATCTTTGGTTTTCTATTCATTCTTCTATTTGAGAACCTCTGCTTTTATCAAAGCCATGCTCAGATGAGAACTGCTAAAAAAGATGATGTTTTGATGTTTCTAGTTGGATATGGATCCCTGCCCTGCCTGAATTCATTATTGTGCAGGACCTTTCCTTGCCTCTCCTGCCCCAGTGCCAATTCTTACTGCATCATACTTGGGGCATATTTTGCCATGGCTAATTCCTTTGCTTGGCACAGGGGCTCCTTGTGAAAGCTCTTATGGTGGCTCTGTGATTAGTTGTTTTTTTGTTTGCTCAGTGGTTGCCTTTCCTTCAGTGTTCACTCACTGAGCATGGTTCTTCTCTATATTCACGAGAATATTTTACTTTGTATACTTGGGGTCACAGTTGCCTTTGATCATTTTGTTCTACCAATTCCACTCTCTTTCAGAAGGTCTCCAGAATTTCTCATTCATTAATATCATATTCCCATTTTCCAATTTTGTTATTCCATTCATTAATAAATTACTTTCTAAATTTGTATGAGATGTGAGGTTGGGAGAATTTGGAAGAGTATTGTCAAATGTCAGTTTTGATTATCACCCTTTTAGTTTTGTGTTACAAACTTAAAAATCTTTGATAGGCCTACATATTTTATATTTTGACTTTTTAGTGACCAGAAAAAATGCTTATATAAAAAATAATTTTAAAAAGCGTTTATTATAAAAAGTGGATTTTTCCTTTTAATCTCACTCTAATACCACTCCGTTCCTGTCTTCTCAAAGAATAACCCCTTAGGCCGGGCGCGGTGGCTCAAGTCTGTAATCCCAGCACTTTGGGAGGCCGAGGCGGGTGAATCATGAGGTCAGGAGATCAAGACCATCCTGGCCGATATGGTGGAACTCCGTCTCCACTAAAAATACAAAAAATTAGCCAGGCGTGGTGGCGGGCACCTGTAGTCCCAGCTAATTGGGAGGCTGAGGCAGGAGAATGGTGTGAACCCGGGAGGCGGAGGTTGCAATGAGCCGAGATCGTGCCATTGCACTCCAGCCTGGGTGACAGAGCGAGACTGTCTCAAAAAAAAAAAAGAAAAAAATAAAAGAGTAACCCCCCTTTATAATCTTTATTATATATTTGTACAGTTATGTAAATAAATACTTTTTATTTTTACATGCATAAGAATATATTGCACATATTTCGAAATTATTTCATTGGCAACTTTTCATGTCTATACATATAAATCTTTTCAGGTATTATTCCATTTGATATAAGGATAATAAGGTTGGAAATCTCTAGCTCATTGTCAACAGATAATAAGTGATGATAAAGAGTAAGAAGAGTAAAAAGATCACCAGTTAAAAGTGACTGAATCACATTTAATACGATAACCTTAATTAAAGCCTGATTTTGAGAGCTCACATGTGAGCTTGGACAAGTTTTCTCATCTGTAAAATGGTAAAATCATAATAATAATATTCATTTCATACAGTTGTTGTAATATATGAAATAATACATGTAAAATACCATGATTCTTGGCATATAGTAAATGCTCCAGGAATATCAGTTGTCATTTTTTTTTTAAGGCAAGAAAATAAGCTACTATATGATACTAGGCAAGAAATAAACACTTTTCTTAGGCATAATGGCATCTGGAGTAAAAGTAATATCCTAGTGTAACTCTTGAAATTCACTGAAGATGGAACATCAGGATGAGAGTAGACTAGAGTGTTCCTGCAAAGAAATACTCACCTCTGAATATCTTTTGTTTTCCCTACCACATATTGTTCTCACTATAATTGTACTTTAAAGATGGGTAGGAAATGGGGAGCCATGAGGACCTCTAGTGGTTTGGTTTCTTTGTTTTTTCTCTTAGGAGTCCACAGGCCAAATAATCGCTACCCAACATAAAAATGGAAGCAACATAAAAATGGAAGCCATAATGTCACCTCTAACAAACCTGTGGTCCTAATATTGAAAGGCGTTATAGCATATCCCTCCCTCACTCACATTTACTTAAATCAGGCATGTCTATACAGGAGGGATGCACAGCCTGTCACTATACAGGCAAGGCTTAGGTAAAGCGATGCAGTAGAACTATTTTTCACAGTGCTGGCCTCAGAGGATTGGCAACGTCTGCATTAAATATGAACCCGGAAAGTTCACCACTCAGCAGACTGGGCTGCCTCTAAGCACAAAAGAAGGTTAAAGCAACATGCTTACAACTTCATTCGTTTCACAGAGTTCTCCTAAAGAAGACCAAAACCTTAAAAAATGTACTATACTAATTTTTATTGTTTTTCTCTTGGTCTACTAGAAACAACTCCCTTAATTCATGGATTAAACTTTTGTTTGCAAAAGCACAAACCTATACAACAGTAAAATACTGTGTAGCAGTAAAAAATTCAACTTTTTAAAAAACATAAATTCTAGAATTACATTGAATGATAAATGTAACTTTTAAAAGATTGTATAGTATACCGTTTTATCAAGTTTAAAACAACTGAAATTAAACAATTTACTTTTTAAAATATGCTATATTAAGAGACCTCATGCACATACACACGCTCCCCAAAAGAATTGTCAACATAAGATTCAGAATAATGGTTACCTCCAGTTCAGGGAGGCAGGGAAACAGGATGAAGGACTTTATGAGTTCATTTAAGTTATTGTCAAGGTACTGGTTTTCCTTATAGGTGTGGTTTTATTGCATTATTAAAAATAAACAGTAACTAAAGAGAAAAGTATCATTTGTGTCATAAAACAAGCATCTGAAAAGAACAAGCCAGTTACAGGAGGCGATGTGAGATGAACCCAGAGCAGAAAGCCAGATATTAGCAGGGGATTTATTTCTAGAAAAAACAAAGGCAAAAAGGCACCACTGAAGCCTCGTTATGTCATATAGGCGACAGTCTCTACTATAAACAAGTGACTTGACAACTATTTTAAATAATTTTCAAGAAGCAAATTAAAGAAATGTTCATTCGTATTAATAAATAGAATCATCCTTAAACCCAACGTTTCTAAAAGAAAACCTGTGTGGCTGTAGGGGCTGTGGATTTTCTTGGTTGATCCTTTCAATCAGACAAATAAAGAGGTTATTTATTAGCAAGTGTAGCAAGTACTTCAACACACGCTAAGGCTGTTGGTATCTACAGTCCAAATAGTTGGTGAGCAGGGTTCAGGGACAGTTATTTGACAGCTGTGAGTGGAGCATTGGTTTCCATCCATGAAACTCATGAAGAGTGCTGAGGAGTAGCCAAATAAATGTGAGGTAAACATGTGATAACCCTGTCTCCAATCTTTACAAAATTAAAGGATTTGGCTTAAGAGTGGTTAGGATGGCTCTATGCTCCTTGGAATTCCTCAGGACCTGGGTCACTGTCTCTATTTTATTGATGATTAAATTGAGAACTGGAGTGTTTTGTAAGCTGGTCAAGGCGTGGCAGACACAGAGCTTAAGCAGTAAGCTCAAAGGTAACTCTTTGGGCCAAGTAGGGTGTCCCCAGCACCAGAGTCTGTGTTTGGTTTTTGGCCTAGCTTTATTATGCCATCTTAAGAAAAAATGCCTCAGTCAAGTCCCTGTAGGACCCTATCTGTCCCTGTCTGTCCTTGTCCATCCCTGCAAATCTCTGCTAGTTTCTGCTAGTCTCTGCTAGTCTCTACTAGTCTCTACTTTTGTACCTCTTTAGGGCACTGACCTTATATTGCTAGTCTTTGCTAGTCTTTATCTATCCCTTTCTGTCCCTATGGTATCTGTTAGTTCCCACAAGTTCCTGCAAGTCCCTGTCTTTCCCTGCCTATCTCTATTTGTCTCTACTTATCTCATCTCTTATCTCTTACTTATCTCTATTGTCTCTATTTATCCCTGAAGGCCTCTTCAGGTCCCTTCAAGTCTCTTCAAGTCTCTGTTTGTCCCTGATAGTCCCTGTTCAGGTGCCACTTGTGGCTGACTGCCCCGGTTACTACTTGAGACGAGCATTACAGCAGTTACTACTGTTACTGCTTGAGACCATCATTACAAGACTGAATGAAGGGACGAACGTAGAAATGATAACACAAAACAAAAGAAACTATTTTAAAGAAAAGGCTAGCATGGGAAAGAAGAAGAGAGCTCCCTGCTTCTAGTGAGCAAAGGCAGTCCCCCTGAGCTTCCACAGCCCTTCTTATTTATTGGGTAACAAGAGCAAGGAAGAGGAGGTAATGATTGGTCAGCTGCTTAATTAATCACAGGTTCATATTATTACTAACAGGCTTCAGATGTACCTAATCACAAGAAACGTTTGTGTGGCCTCCAACATCCATAGTCATTTATCTAGATCCCAGAAAAATAAACACATCATGTAAAAAGAAATGTGGCAGGGCGCGGTGGCTCACGCCTGTAATCCCAGCACTTTGGGAGGCTGAGGCAGGCAGATCACGAGGTCAGGAGATCGAGACCATCCTGGCTAACATGGTGAAACCCTGTCTCTACTAAAAATAAAAAAAAATTAGCCAGGTGTGGTAACAGGCACCTGTAGTCCCAGCTACTCGGGAGGCTGAGGCAGGAGAATGGCGTGAAGCCAGGAGGTGGAGGTTGCAATGAGCCAAGATGGCACCACTGCACTCCAGCCTGGGTGACAGAGTGAGACTGTGTCTCACAAAAAAAAAAAAAAAAAAAATGTATAAGTTTGCAACACAGCTTATCATTTGGTTTTTCCCTCTCTCCCTCTGCATCAAGAGTCAAATGAAATACTAAATACATTTCTGCTTCTTTCAATTCCAAGATTCTCTGACTTTTTACAAATGCCAGCAGTCACACAACTCTGGGAGAATCTTTTGATATTCACATTTATTATAATATAGAATAAAAATGCCTTTTGATTCTGCCTCTTGAACTTAAAAAGCTTGTGTGGTTAAAATTGCAAACCCAGGAAGCAAGGGATCATTATTTTGCATCACAAACTGCAATGATTTTATCCAAGGAAATATAAGGAGTGGCAGTTGTGGGGAATACATGGTGGGAGGGGGGTGTCTGGAGAGAATGAAAGAAAGACAGGGTTAAGGACAACTGATTTTATTTAGGTTTTTTTTTGTTTTTTTTTTTTTTCTATTTAAGTTCCTATGTTCGAATGATTGAGTGACTCCTGGAAACTCCGCTCTCAGGGGCAGAGAAACAGATGGCCAAGATCATCCAAAGTTCACCTAATACATTTCCCTTGTCTTCAAATCATTCCAAACAATTCGCTCGCATTGCAGAAGGGTTAGATTGGATTAAAAATAAGCTTTTTCTAATTTCGTGAACGTTCTTTAAAAAAAAAGAAAGAAAAGAAAAAGAACATTTGAAACTACACCAAGACCAAGAACTCATTTCAAATACCCATGATTACCAGTTGGGAATCTGTAATTCCAAACATTCAGTTGTGTGGGTATGGCCATTTGCTATAGACGTCAGGGATAGCCTACACATTTTGGCAATGCAGGATCTTGATACTACGTAGAATCTACAAAGTTGAACTCATAGAAACAAAGAGTAGAACAATGTTGTCAGGGGCTCAGATTGGGTAAAACAGAGAGTTGTTTGTCAAAGGGCACAAAATTTTAGTTGAAAGATAAAAAGTTCTGGAGATCTGATGTATAGCATGGTGACTACAGTTAATAATACTGAATTGCAAACAAGTATTACTCTTAAGATTTGGAAATCATTTTTAAATAGCAGTCATATAATGTGTCAGGCTTACTAAAAGAATTGTAAGTATATTAAACTTTTTCACTAAAAGTCAGTGAGACTAACTCATCTGGCTATTTATCATAAACCAGTTGTGCTTTAACCAAATCAGTCAACACATGGAAGCTTCTCAGAACTCATGTGTCTTCAGTCGCCAAGTCTTTAGGTCCAGACAGGTTCAGGGAAGGCTTGGTACATAACCTTTTTGACAATCCAACTGTGCTTTCTCTCTACTATTTTGGAGCCAGTACACCTGGGGTAAGCTGTTCCAAGCAAAGTGCAAGGGCATATCAAACCCTCACCTTTCTCCTCACTTACAGTTTAAGCAGAAGAACGTGTTCAGGCTTCCCACTGCTACATTTCAGAATTTTATTGGTGTGGGAGGCTTCCCAAATGAGTATTTCAAGTGACAGATGATTTTGTTGTGCCCCTTCTCCACAGCATCAATATCCGCTATTCTATGGAGGATTAACTAGAGTAAGCACCCTGCAGTCACTGGTTATGAATTGTAAATGTGTGACGATTATGGCTCTTAAGGCACAAAACATACTTTTTATAGTGATTTGTGGGGCCCATTTTTATTGAGAATGAGCTTAACATTGCCAGATTCATTAGCTACTTGAGCTACGCTGGTCAGATCCTTTGTGTGTTCGCGCATTAGGCTTTCTTAATCAGAGAAATAAGCTTACATAATTTCTTTTAAATTATGTGTAGTAGGGAAGGAGGTATGCAACACAGGAAGGTTTGTGAGAAAAAAAACTATAAAGTAGAAATGCCAAGAGCGAATTCACATTAAAAAATATTTAATGAGCAATAAAATGCTTCTGTAGCGGTTCCAAGGGATGCGCAGCGTGGTCCGGGGAAGGAGCAGTGTGTGCCAGTAATTCCTCTTGAGAACGGTATAATTTAGAGAGTCCAATTGCTTTCTGCTTCTCAGGTCCCCTTGTCTGATTCTTTTCTCTCTTCTTTTTTTCCTGTTTGGAGTTAGGAACAGTAAACTGATACTGATATATTTTCCAGCAAAGATAATTTTGAGGGCTGAGTGTTACCTCATCATCTGCAAGGAGAATCTCTGTGCATGACAAACTGAAAGATATTTTTCCTGTGAAAGGAGTATCATATACATAAGAGCAGAAAAAGCAGAAAGTATAAGAACATTCCTTCAGGATATCCCTCAAGTTTTTAAAAATTTTCATATATCCATCAAATTAATGAAGTATTTGAGTATGTGTCTGTATGTATGTGTGTATTATATTTAATGATGTGATTTTTATAGCACTTATATATAAAGTTATACATAGAATTATATGAATTACATAATATACAAATGAGATGATATTTATATTAATAAGTTAATGTCATTGGCATTTACTCAATAAACTTTCATTGTGCCAGACATGCCCACTGGGTTTGGAGATTCAATGATAAAACCAACCCTTCACCTCCAGGAACCTGCATTCTAATTGGGTTGTGAGTTGTTAATTAAAAAGTGACCCAAATTGTAGTATAATTAATATTTGTTCAATGAAGGAGCGGTATATGGCATTATGAAAGCATTTAACAAGGTGGGTGAACTGGCCTGTTTCCTGGCTCCCATAATAAATCACATCAAATCGGCCCTTCAACTTCTGTTAGGGCATTAGTGGTTCAGCCTAATACTTCAGAGTGGTCAAGGCATGAGAACAACATTGCTCTCCACTTCATCCATATTCAGGTGCTCTTAGGTCCATCCCACATAAAGAAAGCTGAGGCACAGAACAAAACTGTACATTGTCTCTGAGCTCTTGTGGATGATGTCCTTCAGCTCAGGATGATGTCCTTCAGCTGAGTTCCACCATTCCCAACTTCCCTTCTTTCGATGGTTAATTTCATGTGCTAACGTGGCTAGGCTTTGTGTCCAGTTGCTTGGTCAAACACTAATCTAGATGTTGCTATGAGGGCATTTCTTAGAGGTGACTGAACAATTACAATCATTTAACCTGAAACAAAGCAGATCACTTCCATAATCTGGGTGGGCCTCATCCAATCAGTTGAAGGTCTTCAGAACACAAACTAGGGTTTCCCAGAGAAGGAGGAATTCACCCTCAAAACCATAACATAAGAAATCCTTCCTGAGTTCCCATCCTGCTGGTCTGTCTGATGAACTTTAGATTCAAGACTGCAACATAAACCCTTATCTGAATCTCCAGGCTGCCATGCTGCCCTACAGATTTTGGACTGCCAGACTCCATAATCATGTGATCTAATTCCTTAAAATAAATCTCCCTCTCTATATATATTCCCAAGTGGTTCTGTTTCTTTGGAGAACCCTGACTGATATTCTCATAAACTACAAAATAAATTACCTGCAGTTGGTTTCCATAAAGCAGGGACTGAGATAAAGCATTATGTGCAAATGATCTATTGAGGAGGTACTTTAAGGAGAAATCGGTCAGGGAGGAGGCGGGGGGGATAGAAGAGGGAAGGGAGGAATCCCATTCCAGCAAGGGAGCAATTTCAGATAAAGGCCTATTCTTGACCTGGTTTCATGAGGAGCTCTGGAGAGTAAATTGTACCCTAGAGTTGGTGCTACCTTGAGAAAAGGTAGCTGACCTTTTATATTCTGCAGCAATCAGTCATTGGGTAAGTGTTGGTGGGGCCCTGTATACTCCTAGGTAGTGCTGACTTTCTGTGTTGCTGGTACAAGTTGTTGGAAGCAAAGTACAAAGACGCTGAAGGTTGAGTGTATAAAATAGTAAGCTGGATCTTCGGGGATGTGGGTGAAGCATGGACAGTCCCACTCTATAGACAGTTAATAAATTTGGTTGAGTTGGCCTAAGCCGTGCTATGTGCCAACTACTTTAATGTGCAGTGCTAAATCATATAATGATAGATTAAACATAGAATTTAATATGACTATATATCTCTTACACAGGAAATAAATATTCCTCCTTTTCCTATTTCTGAAGAACAAGAAAAGAATTGTAGGTCAACTACCATCACCATAGTCAGACAATAGTTTCACCCTACTATGTTCCCAGCATAGTGCTGGATACTGAGGAACATACACAGAAGTATTAAGACCTGTTCCCTGCTCCCTAGAAGTTCAGAAATTTACATAGGAAAATCATGTAAGTGTATTTTTAGTATCTGAATGAAGTTTCAGCCTCTTCCTTATTTGTGATATGGGAATAATAGTGATATCTGTCTCATCTGACTGATATGATAATTAAATAAACACATTCAAAATGGTTAGCACAGAGAAAAGCACATAAATGAAAATTATTTCTACTTTTTATTCTTTTGCCAGACTATAAGCTGCATGAAAGCAGAGATCTTGCTTTCCAGGCTAATTCCCCCCAGCCATCGCCAGAGTCTAGCACAGTTCCTAACTTGTAACAGGCATTTCATACGTATTTCAATGAATAGGAGATGTGAACTAATGAATTTTCATCTCTTTTCTGTCTCTTCTAATGTTGTAACTTTTATTTTTAAACATAGGATTCTCAAGGGCAAAGAATTAATGCTAGTTATAAGTTATGTACAGTTGGCACTTAATGTTAAGTAATAATATTTGAGTCAATTTGATATATTTATTGTTCTTCAGGGAGGTACCCATTGTTTATTAGCCTTTAGGAGATGTCTTAATTGTAAGGGAAAATAGAAGACACATGGGGTGCAGGTATTCGCTGAGCTGTTCAGTGAACTACATTACTGAAATGTTGCCAAACACTAAAGTTCTATTCAGAATTGTTAATCAGTCTGCATATTCTTGTCTCATCTTCAAAGTTACTAACTGCATATCATCATCTATTTCTTATGATTGTTCAAAGTATAGCTAATTAAATTGTCCTTCTCTACCTGAAATGTGCTCCTCTCTTGACAAGCTAAAGCTGTACCCAGGTAAGGGGGCTCCTTATATGTTCATTCATTGATTTGCTTTTCAGATTTGTATGCCCCCATTGTGCTGGGCACAGTGAAATACTTTGAAAATGAAAAGGTGAATAAAAGTGCCTCTCCTCAGGTGATTCAGACATTGGTAGGGGATCATATTTTTCAGATTTTCTATTGTGGCACATAACAACAATAAATTTGGTGAACAAATCTTAAATGTATAACATATAACCACCACCTATATTTTTAAAAAAAATTATTCCAGAAGGCTCCTACCTGCTCCTTCTCAGTCAATAATTCCCCACCAAGAAAGATCTACCACTCTGACTTCTAGCACCTCAGATTAGATTTACTTGCAAAGAGACATTTAAAGGATCGTTTTGATACTATTTTGAAAGTACTATACAAAGATGGGTCCAAGGAGATGTTAGATCATAGTGAAGCAAAAGAGATCCCAGGAAGGGGAAGAATGTAAATCTTCATAGAGAAATGACATTTCAATTATATGTAGAATAATATGTACAATTTAGGCAATGAAAAATGTGGTGGAGAGGGACTTCAATGCACCAAAAGTGGCATGCGCTGAGAGCATTTTGTGTTCAGTAGGTGGCAGGTAGATCACTTTGTTAAACAGTGGGTCAATGGGAGGAGAGACGTGGGGTATCAGCGAGAAAGATTAATTGGCATCAGATATAAGACTTTTTGTAACATGTTGGGAGTTTTTCATGTCATAAGCAACAGGAGGCTAGGATTGGTCTAATTTGAGTGAAGAGATTTGGAAAGGAATAATGTGAAGAAAACTAACAGAGTGCAGAGGCCACATTTCCCACTGAAGAAGAAAGTGATAACAGAATCATAATGCCGCAATGGTAACTCCACTGTCTGTTTCTAAGTAGTGGGTTTCCAGGTCTTAAAATTCTAATTGCACAGGGGTACTATAGGAAGCATTAGAGTCTTTGTAACAGAAAATGCTCACATGTTTAAATGAATTGGGAAGTATACGGTTGTCTGACATGAGGAGATCAAAGGATGACGGGCTGGCTTTATGCGCTTTCATGAGCGTGTGCTCACACTCAACATGATAGGGACTAATGGGGTGTCTCCTTTAAATGTCCCTCAGTTTTTTTGGTTAATCTGGAAAGGAGAGGGTAGAGAAGATACTGGTAGAATGATGCAATCCTTTCCATGAGGTGAATAACCTGATATAATGACTATTATGCTTTCTTTCTTCCCTAAATCACCTCATTTTTTTTTTTTTCCTACCTGATACAGTGGTCCTAGGACCAGGACTGCAACTATAAGTGCTGGAAGCAGGGATGATTCCTAAGCAAAAAACTGCGGCTATGTTTTCAAACCTTATGTCAGCATTTCTAAGGCCCTGATGAGAAAGTGTTGTGCCTTCACCCCATCTGCCAAAATTGGGTCTCAGAGTGAATGCAGCTATAATGACTGGTGGTAAAAAATAAATAAATAAAAATAGACAACTAGTTCGGCTAGTTACTTAACCTATCTGAATGCGAGTGGACTGAGGAGGAGGTAATTGCTAGACTAGTGAAAATGTGTGGGTATTAATGGACAGAAGGAGGAATAGTAGCTGAGAGTAAAGAAGTGAATACATTAGTTATGAATTGATGGAAATCCAATCTTCACACCTCAAAAGAGCCTAGAGCAAGAGATTGTATTGTCTCCTAGCTCAATTCTAACCAGATGCATAAAAGGGTAAAGCTACATGTTTGCCAAGCCCACGCTGCTTTGGGGACCTGAGAGGAAGAAATGGAAGCCTGAAAACCTGAATGACCCCACTCTGGGAGATATTTTCATGCCATATGATGAACTGGACTAATTATTAATGACTGAGTGGGATTCTAATAATATGGCAGTCTCTTTTGAGTTATATATCCTTTTGACGTAAGAGATTCATGTTTGAAGACCAAGGGCTGACCATGATTTTGTGAAATTTATACTTGGTCTCTGTCCCTGTTTCCTGGCATGCAACTCCTAAAATCCTTAGAATCTCCAAAGTGATGTCTTTTTGCTTGCTACTGAGTTGACTGATGGCTGGCAGCCTGTTGGTAGCTTCAGGATGGGGCTGGTCACCAGAAAGATGAAGACAGAGTTAGAGGGTTGGGACTTTCACCCCCACCTCCTCAACCTCTAGGGAGGAGACAGGACTTTAAGGTTGTAATGATCACCAATGTCCAATGGGATTAATCAGTCATGCCTATGTAATGAAGCCTCCATAAAAACCCGAAGGACAGGGTTCAGGGAGCTTCTGGATAGCAAAATACTTGGATATCCTGGAGGATGTTACACCTGGAGAGGGCCTGGGGCCTTCTTACCCCTTTCCATGTGCCTTGCCCTATGCATCTCTTGACCTGTATCGTTTGTAATATTCGTTGTAATAAACCAGGAAAGGTATTTCCTTCGATTCTGTGAGCCCTTCTAGCAAATTAATTGAACCCAAGGATGGGGTTATAGGAACCCCAATTTATAGCCAGTAGGTCAGAAGCTCAGGCTTGTGATTGGCATCAGCAGTCAGGAGGCAGTCTTGTGAGACGAAGCCCTCAACCTTTGGGATCTGACGCTGTCTCCAGGTAATCAGTGTCAGAATTGTATTGAATTAGAGGATACCCAGCTGGTGTCCACTGCAAAACTGATTGCTTGCTGGTATGTAGGGAAAAAGAAACACACACATTTGGTCACAAAAGTCTTTGTGTGGATTTTTGTGGGATGAAAGTGAAGGAAAACTTCTTAAATACCCAATAGTCAAACATAGTAGGTTTCTATAAATTAAGAGTGCCTTTAATATATACATTGGGATCTTGGGAGAGGGAATATTGTATATTTTCTTTTGTTTTTACGTTTGAGTAAATTTTTTTTTCTTTCAGCTTTATAGCATCTTGTGGTGTGGACGGTGCTCTACAGTACACTTTGTGAAATGTTGCTATACAGTGAAAACATGAAAAACAGCCTATAAGAAAGTTCACCTCCATCGTATAGATTTATAAACTGAACAGGTTAAGCTAGATCCACATCATTCTGAAATATATATTATTTCCGTAAAAGTAATCAAATCATCTCTTAACCCAGAGCTATTAATCCTGGGCCCTGGATCCCAGGAATCTTCAAAGGTAGTAAGTGTTGGTCCTCGGCAATAAAAGATAGAAAATCCCTAACCCAGTGAAAATATTTAGGAATGTGCAAGTAACATTTTTCTTCAAACTTGAAATCCTGCTCTTGAAAATAAGATGTTAAAAGAAGACAGGGCTCTGTGAAAGAGAGCCCCTGTTATATCACAAGAATGGCTCAAGATGCT
The DNA here is from genome assembly GCF_000001405.40 of Homo sapiens. Taxonomy (NCBI): domain Eukaryota; kingdom Metazoa; phylum Chordata; class Mammalia; order Primates; family Hominidae; genus Homo; species Homo sapiens. The sequence continues at coordinate 165,892,517 of NC_000005.10, forward strand.
AACTCAGGAACAAGCCTGAGTGATAGCTCAATGGCGCGGAGATCGAAAGCAACGTGAGCATTGTGTGCTGTGAGGATGGACTTGCAGAAAGTTTCCTCTGATTGGACCAGTTCACAGCCACAGCACACGGTTTAAGATTCAAGGGTAAATGGTGTTTGAGTCTGGCTAGATGTATTGACTAAAACCAGTGATGAACTCTCCACTTCAAAAACAATGCAGTGAATATCTGCAAAGGCCATTCCTCCTGCACGCTCCTCAGACATGGTTATAAGTTAAGAGCTTAAGACAGAGCATCCATGCCGAGCCTGGCTTGGTTTCATTTTTCTGTTCTAAATTGAGCATTTTTTTTTTCTGGTGTTCAAAGACTACAGATACCCAGGAGAAGAGAGGATATAAGCATAGTACATGCTTCAAATTTTGTAAAATAAGAAGTCTTATTTCTTGTGATTGTATCTTGATTATATTTTGATCATTTGCCAGCATGGCTGTGTGCCCATCGTTGCTTCTTCATAATTTTTAGTTTATGAGTGTGGAAATTCACAAAAAAATAAAATATTCTCAACAACAGTATACAAAGCATCACTTTTATTTTACATTTAAGGTAACAGTAAGGTTACCTTGACAGCATTTAACATAGCTCAGAGTAAATTTTCTTTTCTCTTTTCTTTTTTTTTTTTTTTTTTTTTGAGACGGAGTTTCACTCTTGTTGCCCAGGCTGGAGTGCAATGGTGCGATCTCGGCTCACCACAACCTCTGCCTCCCCGGGTTGAAGCGATTCTCCTGCCTTAGCCTCCTAAGTAGCTGGGATTACAGGCATGTGCCACCACCCCAGCTAATTTTGTATTTTTAGTAGAGACGGGGTTTCTCCATGTTGGCCAAGCTGGTCTTGAACTCCCGACCTCAGGTGATCCGCCCACCTCGGCCTCCCAAAGTGCTGGGATTACAGGCGTGAGCCACCGCACCCAGCCGGACTCTGAGTAAATTTTCAATGTTTTTACACTGCAGTATTGCCAGAGTTCAGGAATAAAGTTTAGAAAATGTTTGATATTTTTGGAGGTTTATCTTGTATTATCGTTATTTTTTGCCTGAAAATTGATAAAATCAGTTTGCTTTCAACCACAAACCTCCAAAATCACACTGTTTCTAAGAATCTTATCTTACAGCAAATGAAAATATTCTGCCACAAATGTTTAATTTATGTCATCCTGAAAATTACCTCAAAATGAGAAAGACCAAGCAAGTTACATTTATCTCAGTTTTCTTTTAAATTAAATGAAGTTTTGAAAATCTTCCATCAGCTCAGTATGTCTGTGGCCATTTGTTAATCATCAACTTAATTTGTGATGATTATTTTATGTTCATATATCATTTTTATGCGTTATAGAAGAGAGAGCACACTCATGTCCCTTCATGCACAGGCTCTCTACAGCGCACCCACGTTATTAGTACACACCAGAGTACTTCTTTACAGAGAAACCACAGCTCAGAAAAGATGTCCTGTCCAGTGTCACCCAGTGACCAGAATCCTCACCCAATTTCATGAAGAACTAAATATAGAATCTATTTAGAAAATTAATTAAATCAGTACATTTTAATGCTAGAAAGAAGTCCAAATTTCATCTGGTCTTATCAAATGTAAATGAGATGACAAAGGCTCAGAGATGTCCAGTCATTTTCTCAGTGCTATCCCCTCAACCCCATCCCCATCCCACTGCCTTAACTTCTTAGAAGCAGAATTGATACTCGAGTTTTAGATTTCTGACATGTGGCTTCCATGTTCTTTCTCCCTCTTAGGAGGGACTTTGCCACCTTCATATCTGCAGCTTTATTTATTTATTTTTCTCATTCACAAGCAATTTTAATATAGAGGCTTAGATTATCTAGGATAATAAAGAATACTACTGACCACTAAATCCAATCCAATGTATTCTCTGGATAGGTGAATAAAACCCTGTGTAGGTATATAACTTTCCAGCATGAGTAAGTCATATCCTAAAAGGTATGGCAGATTTCCTGTCATGATCTTAGCTGCTGAATTTACTTTCAAATCTAAACTCAGATGTTTATAATTGGCAATTCATGCAGCTCTCTTGTTCCATTCCAGTTATACTGAAATGAGCACCAGCAGATACTATTTGCGGTAGGTATTCTCAGAACCAGAAGAAAAATAAATGTTAGTGAATAACAGAATTAAGATTCATTATTCTTGTATATCCTGACAGTATTGAATATGACTGATTGCACAGTATAGAGAAGTGGTTTTGTTATATTCATCATTGTGGGCTTTGAAGAGCTAGAATAAGAAAATGGATTTCAACGTGAACTCCCATCCTATGTTATAAAAATCTGCAGGTTAAATATGTTGAACATTTTTGTGAACCATGAAGTACATGCAAAATAGATGCGTTGAAAATATATAATTTTATGTACACAGTTACACACACATATGCACATACACATTTACTATGTGTGTGGCATTTAATTCCTATCTGTATACAATAGCATGGTTCAAAGTACCTTTTCTGTTGAAGTCACTGAAGCTTGATTTCCAACACCTCGCTATCTTATCTTCCTTCCCTTCAATCTCTCAGTTAATAGGATTTCTATAAACCAGCACAGCAGTGGCCTTGGTAGCTCAGCAGATTAGCCGGTGAGCTTTCATCCTTGGAACCTAGTTCAAATTCAGTCCTGACCAAGATGTCTAATAATCCTCCATGGGCAGATTGCTCTCAAAAGGGCATGAAGCCTAGTTTATCTCTGAACCTGATGTGGAGCTCTGTTTTTTGAACCCTTCCTAAAACCTGAGGTTTCATTCATGCAACTGAGAAAGAAGACGAAATATAGGCATTTGCTTTTAGGTTATAGACTAGTTTCTCTTCTGCAAAGAATTCAAGATATCTCTGGGAAAAAAAAAATTCCTTGCTTCTCTCCGCAACCATCAATATTCTAGAAATAGCCAAAATTAAAACATTATTTTTAATCTCTTTACAACCCCTTTACCACAAGGATCTGTTAGTAGTTTTCACTGCCTCTTCTTACCATTTTAACTATACTATTGCACATGGAAATACTAGAGTGATATTATTATGTTACTCCTTTAATAAGACCCTACAATGATGATGCTTTGTTGTTTGTTCTGCCTTATAGCCAAACATACCTGAATAGCAAGTTGCTACATGATATATTTTTTTCCTTCTCATCATGGTCAACATTTTAGTTGGGCGGAAAAACGTATCTTCCATAAACACCACGCTTCTCTGGTCTCTGAGCATTTGATACTGATACAGCTCCCATACCATTCCTTCCCAACTGCTCGAATGCCTTTAGTATTCTTTTTCAGTCGTACCTATTCTTTAAAAATTACTGGCTTCATCTCCTCTGTAAATGTCTTTCTGTCATATTGGTTCACAAAATCTCAAACTTTTTTATAAGTTATATCAGAAAGAATACTACATTGGAGTCAGGTAACCAGCCTTCTATTCATTTCTATTTCATCAGTTAGCTGTGTGATCTAGATCAAGACATTGAGGGTGAAGACGATGATGACAACGATAATGCGATTTTAAAAACAACTGTAGTTATCTGCTAGATCCTAAGTGTTGTGCTGGGTGCTTTATCCAAAATGTATTTCAACATTTCACTATGAGTATATAAGTGTAATATTCAATCCTATAAATAGCTTACATGTAAGACACACCAACTTTTTATAGAAAAGGTTGTGGAGAACTTTAAAGCAATTTGCCCAGGTAGTAGTGTAATCTGGAATTGAGTTCAATTCAGGCTGATTATTTGTGTAACTTCTAATAATGACTGTGTTGATTCTCTCCCTTTAATCTAGCTGAGCTTCACCTATCGAAGGAGAGGATCTCAATGTGTACTCATGAAGTTCTTCCAGATGGAGAAGTGCAATCATTTTATACATTCTTATTTCAATTGCACTATGTAATTTTCTCTGAGTATTTGTCAAACACTCAAAAAATATATATAAAGAACATTTATATATGTATATATAATTTTTATTTATACTTTATGTATATAAGTTACACTTTTAAAAAACATATATATATATATAATTTATATTGCACAGTCAATATTGGGAATTCAACTCCGCCTTTTTTTGTAGACAAAACAAATTTTTAAATACATAACCTATAGTCATTTATTTGCCCTAAAAGTAGAAATAAAGCAGTCCAAATCCTGCTTCATTGAAACCTCTCCAAGCGTTCAATCCTCCCTGTCGTGAAGAGTAGGTTACTGCATTGAGAAATTTTCTGTAAACTAGTAGTAAAGAGATATTTGAATAACATTTGAATATTGTTTATGTTCTGCACAATCCCAGTATGAACTTTCAAACATTTTAAAATAGGAAAATATTAAAAATGACCTATAATTTGAAAGAAATTATTGTCTATTTTTGCTAATTGTAAGCAGATTTCTTTAGAATGAGTAATACCTAGGAAATGGTTATAATCCTTTCTTCCCCAAAATGATGGAGGAGCTAGGAAGGCTAGAAAATTTTCCATTAGCAGTGAACTGAGTCTGCAAATCTCTTTTCTCAAATACTTAAAAAAATAAACAGCTAAATGTTGAGAAATTTTAGTCTTCAAATCTCTTTCAACACTTTTATGCAGTCTTCCTACATTAATAGATATTGAGTTGTAATGATCATATCAGTTTCTGTTCACAAATTGTAATAATGAAATATGTCCTTTCATATTTCTTTTTATTTGATCCACTTGGATAATACAGAAAAACTAGTTCAATTTTTAGAAATTGCTCAGTCACGTATTCTTACATTTTTCTGATGCCAAATCAAATGTGAATGGCTGATTGATCTGCTGAGGTTGTGATTAATGTATAAGACAAGAAAATATTTAATAGTTGATCCAGCTGCTTAGAAATAATATTTTAAGTCTCTACCTTAGCTTCAAAAAAACTAGGGTAAATTTTTCGCTTAAAAAAGCAATTCTCTGTGTATCAGTATTATCATTACTAATTTAATCAAGTTTGGTGAAGCACTATGGCATAATAATTTTAGAATCACTCAGAATTAGGTTTAAGTTTTGGCTTTACCATTTTATTTACTGGGCGTTGGACAAATTTCTTCATACATATATATATATATGTCTCCATTTTCTTATTTTAAAATTTAAACAGTAAACATTACGTTTCCTAATAGAGTTGTTATAAGGATTAAATGAGATCCTTCACGTGAATTTATCAGAGTACCTCGCATATAATACATATTTAATAAATGTACATATTCAATTAATGTGTGGTAACTTAAGCATAGTTAATGTGATCGTAATGGCATAGTTAACATTAAGTTCAAGAACAATAAGAAATAGTTGGGTGAGGAGATAATTATGTAAGACCATTTAGTTTTACACATTTTTGTTTCTAGTGCTTTAATCTATATTTAAAAATTTAGTCAGACTGCATGAATTCTAGGATTCAGGGTATATTTTCTTCTATTTTATTAGAGCCTATTGTATATAGTTAATGCCTTTGTCCATTTATCTTTTATGCTAAAAGAACTATGAGGTTAAATAAAGATGGTTATAGATACAATAACTATGACCTTACCCATATCTGCAGACCTAGAATCTGAGATTAGGTTTTCTAGTTTCTGTCTAAATAGTTCTATCCAACAGCATGGCTCTCAGACTACAGAAGAGAAACTTTAAACTCCCTAATCTAGCAATGATTGCTCTTAGCATACCTGATTCATTCATTCATTAATTTTAAAGCAGATTTTATTATTTACCATGTGGCCAGAATTCTGCTAAGTGAAAGTTATATCATCATAAGTAAAAAATGTCCCTTACGGGCTGGGCACTGTGGCTCACGCCTGTAATCCCAGCACTTTGGGACGCCAAGGCAGGCGGATAACCTGAGATCAGGAGTTCAAGACCAGCCTGGCCAATATGGCAAAACCCCGTCTCTGCTAAAAATACAAAATTTAGCCGAGCATGGTGGCAGGCACTTGTAATCCCAGCTACTCGGAAGGCTGAGGCAGAAGAATCGCTTAAATCTGGGAGGCAGAGGTTGCAGTGAGCCGAGATCTTACACCACTGCACTCCAGCCTGGGAGACAAAAGCGAAACTCCGTCCAAAAAAAGAAAAAAAAAAAAGTTCCTTACATCTGTAGATCTGATACTCTAGCACATGGTTGGCAAACAGACCGTGGGCAAAATATGTCTGGCCCATTACCGGTGTTTGTAAGTAAAGTTTTACTGGACCACAGATGCACTAACTCATTTACATATTGTCTGTCACAGGTTTTATGCTGGGATAGGAAAATTGAGTAGTTCCAACAGAGGCCTTAGAACCCACAGGACGTAAAATATTTACTATCTGTCCTTTTGCCAAAAATGATTGCCAACCCTTGGTCTAGAGGAGAAAGGTATTGCATAAGTAAATCGAATACATAACTAATTTTAACAAAGTTGTGATAGGTGCTATTAAAGCAAATAATAGAGTGAACCTAATTTGAATGATGTGGTCAGGCTACAGTTAACATTTATTTTTATCTACACAATCAGTTGTGGTCTAACCCAGGGGTCCCCAGCCCCTGGGCCGCCGACCAGTACTGGTAGTCCGTGGCCCGTTAGAAATTAGGCCGCACAGCAGGAGGTGAGCAGCAGGCTAGCCAGCATTACCACCTAAGCTCTACTGCCTATCAGATCAGTGCATTTGATTCTCACAGGAGCACAACCCCTGTTGTGAACTGCACATACGAGGGATCTAGGTTGCACCCTTCTTATGAGAATCTAATGCCTGATGATCTGTCACTGTCTCCCATCATCCCCAGATGGAACCATCTAGTTACAGGAAAACAAACTCAGGGTTCCCACTGAATTCTACATTACGGTGAGTTGTGAAATTATTTCATTATATATTACAATGTAATAATAGAAATAAAGTGCACTATAAATGTATGTGCTTCAATCATCCTGAAACCATCCCCTCCCCAGTTCTGTGGAAAAACTGTCTTTGATGAAACCTGTCCCTGATGCCAAAGGTTGAGGACCGCTGGTCTAGCCAACCCTCCAAGACACCTGTCCTCCTTGTGGTGTTTCAGTGATATACTCAGGTCTTCAGGCTCCACCACCTCAACAAGCTCATTGTCAAAAATGAAGAGAGTCAGCAGAATCACATGGGTAGTTTGACTGCCCCAGCTTGGAAGCAACACTTGCCATTTCTGCTTGTCATTGGCCAGAATGAGTCACACGGCCCAGCATAAAGCCAAGGAAGCTGGGATGTATCTCCCTTACATCCTAAGACATAACTCCCTTATGCCTAAGATGGAGCAGAAGACCAGCAATTGTTGAGCACAAATAATATTTGTCACATCAGGGAAAGCCCTTTTGAGAAAGTTACATGTACTGTAATCTGAAACCTGAAAATAAAGAATGAGTCCGGCAGGTAAAAAGTAGGCAGTACCATCATCAGACACAGGAATCAGGATGTGAGAAGGCAGAGGAAAACCAGATGTGAGGCCTCGGTGTGTTCCAAGAACCGAAGAAGACCATCGAGTGTGGGGAAAGTGGAAAAAGTAATCGGAGAAGAATTCAGGAACAAGGTCTGGAAGGGCCTCGTAAGCCATATGCAAGTTTCAATATTATTTCATGGGCAGTCAGTGGAAACTTTTAAACACAAGAAACTATCTCATTTTTGTTACAAAAGAAACATGTTACCTTCTTCTTCTTCATTTTTTTTTTTTCAGACTGAATCTCGCTCTGTCACCCAGGCTGGAGTGTAGTGGCTCAATCTCGGCTCACTGCAACCTCCACTTCCCGGGTTCAAGTGATTTTCCTGCTTCAGCCTCCTGAGCAGCTGGGATTACAGGCGTGCACCACCACGCCTGTCTAATTTTTGTATTTTCAGTAGAGACAGGGCTTCACCATATTGGTCAGGCTGGTCTCGAACTCCTGACCTTGTGATCCACCTGCCTCAGCCTCCCAAAGTGCTGGGATTAGAGGCGTGAGCCACCGTGCCTGGCCAGAACCACGTTACCTTCTAAACAGACAATGGATTGGAGAATTTGTCTGTGTCAGGCAAATCCAGATGAAATTCTGTTTTATTGTGGTTTTTTGTCCCCGGCATCTCATTTATAGATACTAAAAAATTTAAATATTTTGCCAGTGAAGTTCATAAAACAAATATAAGAATAAAGAATTTTTCTCTTACTTAGAGATTAAGGCATACACATATACTGAAAAGTTATTTGCTTGAGAAATGTGACCTAATACCTGCTACAAATCCCCCAAACCTGTCCCTGTTCATATAGATTATGCACCAGCAGTAGACGGAGATTAATGATGAAGAGTCTTATCAGGATCCTCTTTGTTTTCCTTGCTATATAAAATGTAGCTATGAAACCACTCCATACTGAAAGCCTGTGTTTGTTCGCCCATCTTCATTCCCTTTCTTTTTTCAGGTGCCAAACAGTTTTTATAAGTTAAAGAGATGGATTTTTATGAAACAGAAAATATCTTTTCTCTTTTTTCTGCTTGACTCTTAGGTATAAATTTTGTAAATACGAGAAAATAAATCATGAAGCACTGAATAATATACGTGTTGTTATAAATTTAATTTTGATGTTTTCATGACTAGCTAAACAACATAATTCATTCACAGTGTAATCACACCTTTTATAACAATTCTTATATACATATATCAGGTTAATTATAGTCTGTGTATCTGATAAGAATTTTATGACAGTCGAAAACAGTTTTCATTTCTCTTTATAAGTAGGTGATATCTTTTCTTTTTTTGGGCTCATTTTATCAGTTGTATTCAGCATGAACTGTTGAGAAAGGACTCTCTAAAATCCACAGTTCAAGTTTTTGAGGTTGCCAAGTTTCTAAATGCAATTCCGTGAGTGGTTCTTTTTCTAATAAAGTTAACCCTGAGTTTTACATCACTTCTCATCTTCCTCCAAGTACTTTCTAAAAGGAGCCAAGTTAAGAACCAGCTCCTTTTCCAACCATTGCTTCTAAAACAATTGGCCAGGAATGAGAAACAGTTTGCGTCTTCTCTTGTCAGCGTAGAATCCTTTAAGCCCTCATGACTCTGACACTCACAAAAATTGTCTCCTTTGGAGGCATTGTGACTTACAAAAAATAAAGTGCTCAGAATTTATAGATACCTTTATGTATCAGAGGGGGACAGTGGGATGCATTCAAAGGATCCACTCCTCTCTCCCAAATATCATTTGAGATAGGAAATGGGATGAACACAAATCCATACTTTAAAACTCTAAGCTGTGCTTCTACTTGTTCTGTAACAGCATGAAAAATCACATCTTGAATCAAGAAAGAAAACAAAACATAAACTACGTGTCTTTCCAGCACTGCGACATCAAAGTTACTTGCTTGCCAGCTACCCCATAATTATTGTTTGTATTGCTGCATGGATGGGAATCAGCACACTTTTATTTTGATAACACTAAACAATTATATGGTGAATGAAAGCAAATGATACTGGAGAAATTGGTGGGGTTAGAAAGAGCCACAAGAATTATAATAATTTTGACTTCTTAACGTGTGCCAGGCACTGTGCTACACAATTTTTATGTATTCTCTCTTTCAATCCTGATGAAAACTAAGTAGAGATATTATTCCTTTTTTTACAGAATAGTTAACTGAATCTTGAGTTAAGCATTTGCTTAATGTTCCTGAATTAAATATACACAGCAGCTCTGAAATATAAATCTAGTCATTTTTCTTAAGACTGAATTTTAAACATTCATTTCACTTAATTTGCACTCTTCTTTTTATAAACAAGAAAATAAAACAATGTTTTTCATATTCAAAAAAGGCGTCAAGTCTGTGAGGAAGTTTGGCACAGAGATCAAATAGATTAAAGATAGTTTAATGATCACAGCATAGACCAGTCCTTCGTGATGTGCCACAAGTCTCTGAGCCATTCAATAGTTTTTTTCAGTGATGTAGGTGTGTGTTTACATGGCTGTTTATTTTTAAGAAATGCATGGATGTGTGTGTATATAGACGATTAGGAGGAGATAACAAACACCAAGAATGACTGATGATAACATTTAAAACAGTAGACATTCTCTAGGAGATTGTATTTTAATTAAAAAGAAGTCTTTAACTTGGATCAAGAAATAATTATACTAATAATTAGTCTGTTCAAAACACAACAAGAAATACTTTAAGTGTCCTCATATCGTGGTAGGTACTTCGCCTAAATTAAGTAACATAAGCTTTGTCGCTAATCATTATTCACTTTAAAACAAAACAGATGAAGCTCAAAAAAATTGAATAGCTCATTGGGGTCACAGAGATAATAAGTAGAGAAGAAGGGATTTAAAGATAGATTCTGTTGCTGCCACTGTGTGTGTGTGTCTGTGTGCGCGTGTGCGTGTATGTGTGTGTGTGTTTACCTTTGAAACACTGCATTCTACTTGATACCTGGTAAATAACATCATGTGAAAAAACAGGTTTTAGTTGAAAACTCAATTAGCAGGAGTTTACAAATCCACACAGCTAAAAAACCAAATGCATCTGTTCTTTGTATTAATTACAGTATGGTTTCAGAGCAAAGAGAGGGCTGGTCTGCCCTCCTATTCCCTGAAATATTCACAGTCACACCTGGAAACTTGGCTTATACCTGGGGCCTCAGACATGAAGAACATTGTTAAATGGCAGCAAGCAAAAGACTGAGGCCAAGTTGAGTGAGCCCCTCTCATGAGGAACAATGAAAGGATGCAAACTAAGTTTAAGTTGGATAATTTTTTAAAAAAAGAAAAAAGAAGTGTAGCAATTGGATTAAAAACTATTTTTATATTTGCAAAGAATTCCTTTACGTAAAAATGTTAAATCTTTCAGTATGACTCTAAAAGGCAGAAATAAGGCTGCATGATGGATGCTAGTACAAAGCAGTTTTAAACTCAGTGTACAGACAAATTAACATGTAACTCTAAAGTCTAATATGGGAAACTTAAGGAATAGGAGCTTTTTCTTTGGGACTAGAACTGCACAGCTTCTGATGTAATTATAACTGCTGTAACCTGTGACCTTCCCATTTGTTTCCGAATAATTCAAATTGCTTTCAAGGTTGGCAACATACTTTATTTTTCAAAATAGTTAATCCAGGATTTTTATTTGTTTGGAAAAGATGGGAAAGTTGGGAATGATGTCACATTGATCTTCCGTTTTGAAGGAATGTTCTAAAGCTTCTTCCCATTCTGAGAGCACTGTCATTCCAGGACTTTTGAAAGGTTAGGAAGCGACATGGCAATGATACTAATTCTAGAAATCTTCTCTTATGACTTCCTCACTATCTTTAACCAATAGACCATACTGTTATGGATTTATAAGTAAATTATGTCATCTTCTCCATGATCTGGCCTATTCTTACCTTATCCAGAAAGAATACCCCCATCAAATATATGACAGCTTGAAAGTTCTACCATTCCACGCCAGTCATCTAAAGAAAAGCTTCTATAATCTCTCAACACTCTGTTTCATGGCCTATAACCCTTATTCAGCAATTTATTTTGGGGACCAGCCTAAATCCCTCCCAGCTATGGTCTCATCTTATTGCCTCTGTTCTTTCACATTATAGTTGAATAGAACTCTGTCTGAAATATAATTTTTCCCTATAGTCCAGGTCTCATGTTTGCCCATAAAATTGAATAGGGCAGATGACAAGGACTTTTTGCAGGTGGTGTAGAGAAATATATGCATATGTATATATGTCTGCATGTATTCATACCTATAAATACATGTGTGTGTGTATGTGTGTGTGTGTGTGTGTGTGTGTGTGTGTATAGTATGGTGTACTAGGACAAAGGCCATACATAGATGAGTAAACCTGTTACCATGTATATATGTGGGACCCAATTGTTTGCATATGTGTGAGATGGGTTTTTTGTGTATGTGCTTTTTCTTTTAAAAATTAATTTCTACAGTAAAAAGTTAAATTCTAGTCAGTCTCTTTCTTCAAAGAGAAATTTAAGCATTTTCTACTCTAAAGTTCTGTCATTCCTATGCACTTGGTGACTTGCTAATTGTGGCAATTATTTCCAATCATTTATTACTTTAAAGCTATTTAATTAAAGCCATACAATACAACTTTGTGCTGTTTATTAATATTTTCTCCTCCTCAGTTCTCTGGGCGACAAGGGCTTAGATTGGGAGCCCTGGGGTTCATAGGTTGCCATATGATTAATAATAGACTGCCTGGAATTTGTCATCTGGCAAATATATGATAATCCCCTACCTGTAAAAGATAAATGAAGCACTTCCAAGACTAAATATTTTATTCACTTTTTAAAAGAAAAATATAATGTATGTTCTGGATAAATTTGGATCTAAATGAGTTCAGTGGCTTTTTATTTTATGTTAGGTCAGTTAACTTATTCATTTTCATTCAAACAAATATTAATGAAAAGGCTTTGCTGATGTGTTAAGCCCTTTTCTAGGTGATGTGGTTGTGAACACAGCAGTGAACCAAACAAACAAATATGCCTCCTCTTATAAGGTTTGCCTGCTGGTGGGCAGAGACAGAAAAAGTGGAGAGACTAAGTAAGTGATGCTTCCTCTTGACCAGAACCACCACCATCCAATAATTTTCCAAAATGACAAACAATGGAAAAGAGGAGTGGCACCTGGTGTATATATATTTCCTTGGCCTTTTAGAAAACATGGAGTTGTTCCTTTGGCCATGTACATGCGAATATACAAGAAGGGTGATATTATAGACATCAGGGGAATGGTAATGGGTACTGCTCAAAAAGGAATGCCCCACAAATGTTACCATGGCAAAACTGTGTCTGCAGCATTACCCAGCATGTCACGGGCATTGTTGTAAACAAGCAAGTTAAGGGCAAGGTTCCTGCCAAGAGAAGTAATGTGCATATTGAGCATGTTAGGCACTCTAGGAGCCAAGATAGCTTCCTGAAACCCATGAAGGAAAATGATCAGAAAAGGAAGCCAAAGAGAAAGGTAGCTGGGTTTAATGGAAAGACCAGCCTGCTCCACCCAGAGAAGCACACCTTGTGGGAAGCAATGGAAAGGAGCCAGAGATGCTGAAACCTATTCCCTATGAATTCATAGCATAATAGGTGTTTTTTTAAAAAAACACCATAAAAAAGTAGTAAATAAAGAAGTGAAATATGTAGTGTGATAGTGATAAGTGCCATGGAAAAAGAAGAAAGGATAGCAAATGCTTGAAATGATGGAAGGAAGGTTTAATTTTAAATATGATGACAAGGAGGCCACACAGAGAAGCCATTTGAGTAAATGCCTAAGGAACTGGAGTGAGCTCTGCCCCTACTTAGAAAAGTGTCCCTAGAAGATGGACAGCCCCCGACGACACCCTGGAGTGGAGATTATGTGAGATGTTCACAGAAAGAAGGCTAAGGTGGCCAGCCCATCTCTCCTCAAACCATGCAAGGGCTCACACAGAATAAACCAAACCATCTCACACAGAATAAAAGCTAAAGTATTTGCAATGGCCTAGAATGACCTACAAGATGTGGCTTACATTCAGGATGGTGGGTTGAGAGCAGATTCCAATAGAAACCAGGTGAAAATAGGTTTGCTCTTAGAGAGCTATTGTAATAATCAGGTCAGCTATTGTACATTGGACCATGATGGAAACAGTGGACATGGCAAGAAGTATTCAAATTGCGTGTATGTTTTGAAGGTAGCAGCAACGGAATTTGGTGATGAAACTTATGGCACATGAGAAAAGGAGATGTCACATGTGACTTAGGTTTTTGACCTGAATCAGTGAACAAAGAGATTTGGCTCCTACAGTTCAAACAAAGGATGAAAGCATGATAAGGAAAATAAGAAAGAAGCACTTGCTGACTGGCAAAACCAAAGGCGAGTGATCCAGATGGTTACATTAGGCAAGTATAGTACAGAGGTGTCTGTGAAACACCTATACAATGAATCTCTTCATGAAACCTCCTTATATGCCAAGCCAACATCAGTTGTCTTCTCAACACCTACTTGAAAAGCTTCCCGTGTGACATACAGAGATGTGGACTTTGGAGTCAGAAAAACCTACATATTATATTAGGTCTCTGCCATTCATTAAGGTAGTTTTTCTCTTCTCTAGAAAGAGATGGGATTGTCTTTGCTTTAAGATAATTCATTAATAACATATGTAAATAAACTAAGTTGGTTTCTAGCACACAGTAGATACTTAATAAATGGCAGCTGCTGTCATCGTTGTTGTTGTTATAACTACTATAAATCTTGTCCTTTGGCTGAGATTAAAGACTCTACCTATTGTTTATTTCTCAAGCTCTCTTAAAGAATATTAAAATAACACAGTCTGCTGGGTTTTTATAATTAATATGTAGCTGGTGATAAATTCATCAACTTATTTGTTTTTTTTAATGAATAGAAAACTAGAAGGAAAAGGTAATCACAACATGATTTTTCTGGCCTTATGGGTGAAATCTTACCCAATTTAGAATAATCTTATAAAATATGGGAGCCTGGATATTATGCATGAGTCATAAACACTGCATCCTCTTACAGAACTAATATAATTCAGTAGATGCTTCAGATGCCTTGGCAGATGCATCATACCAGCCTAATCTAGACAAACTGTGCTATCATTAAGTAATTTTATGGAAGTAATTGCCTGTATTAAAAATCTGTCTTCCTCTCCTATTGAAGAGGTTGCCTTCTACTAGGCACAGAAATGTTTTCCTTTCAGCCCAGGCACACCAGTTTCAGGGCTTAGAAAAATGGCCAAGAGATTTCTCCTGAAGCAAGCCTATAGCACATTAGTATTCGTATGTTATTTTCTTGTGCCCTTATATGTGCCCCTGGTTCTAGGAAAAGGGAATGCAATGTATTAACTCTTTTCAATATTCATCTCTTTGACTTTTTAAAATATGTATCCCCTATACTGGGCTAGGTGTGGGCTCTAAAGCAATGAATAAATAGTTTCCTGCCTTCAAGGAGGATACTAGAGCAGTGCTTTCTAAACTGAAGTCAAGAAAATATCATTTGGGGAGATAAAAATTAACGTGCTAAGGAAATAAATTGGATTGTTGAAGCATTAAAAATATGTCCTTGCTGCAAGATTACCCAGAAGGTTAATCGGCTACAGGGCATTCTGACTTTTCGAAAGATCTCTCAGTATAAAGCATTGTTTAAGCTAATCAAGAGAGTTTGTTCAATTAAGAGCTCTAGAATATTATTTGGCATTGAGAAATGCTAGTTTGATGTAATGTTAGCATACATCCAGTAAATTACAACTTCAGTATCAAGAACATGATCATTTAGTTCATGAAAAAGTTGATGTAATAAAACTTTTCGAATTACAATGTTGATGCTCAAAGGTCGCTTGAAGGTCATTTAATCACCATGTCTTTCAATCTTTCCTTCTATTCACTACACACTACTAAGGAAACAATTCAAAGAGCTAAGTCTTCACACTTGGTCTCCTCTCCT
Organism: Homo sapiens; assembly: GCF_000001405.40. Taxonomy (NCBI): domain Eukaryota; kingdom Metazoa; phylum Chordata; class Mammalia; order Primates; family Hominidae; genus Homo; species Homo sapiens. The sequence continues at coordinate 165,907,968 of NC_000005.10, forward strand.
ACAGGTGGTCATTTGATCTGAAGCTATGCTGTAATGGGGATTATGGAACTTCTTGGAGTGTACTGGCATCATATCTAATAATGGGTGCCATGACATTTATATATGGCATTATATATGATTAGGTATTGTGAGGTATGATCACAATGCCCTGTATTATTAGGGCATTATATATTATATATGATTAGGTATAATGAGGTATGATCACAATGCCCTGTATTATTAGGGCAGGGACTATGCCTCTGTTTTCTTTGTATGCAATGTTAGATTAAAAGACCTGAAGAATTGAACATATTAAGGTACATCCCCCATGTTCACTCAAAGAACATACATTTATTGTGTTCATTCTAAGAGCTGAGGCTCTGTTCTAGGCACTGAGAATATAGCAATGAATAAAGCAGATACTGCATCTACCATCACAGAGCTTACATGACAGTCGGAGACACAGACAATAAATAGGTGAAAAGATATGTATTATAATGGCAAAAAAAGATGATTTTATGTAAAAATAAAATAAGGCATAATAAGAAAATAGGGAATGATTAGCGTGGTTTGGTATGACCTCTCTGGAAGTAAGAATATTTCAGCTGGAAGTAACAATGAATACAGAGACCGAGAAACCAGGGAGAGTGCATGCTGTGTTCACAGAACAGCAAAGAGGCCAGTCTCAAAAAAAGGGATTGAGGGCCAGGCACAGTGGCTCATGCCTGTAATCCCAGCACTTTGGGAGGCCGAGGCGGGCAGATCATGAGGTCAGGAGTTCAAGACCTGCCTGGCCAACATAGTAAAACCCCGTCTCTACTAAAAATACAAAAAATTAGCCGGGCATGGTGGCACATGCCTATTGTTCAAGCTACTCTGGAGTCTGAGGCAGGAGAATCAATTGAACCTGGGAGGCGGAGGCTGCAGTGAGCTGAGATCATGCCACTGTACTCCAGCCTGTGCAACAGAGTGGGACTCAATCTCAAAAAAAAAAAAAAAGGACAATTTGTCAAATCAGATTTGAAAACACTAAAGATTAACACATAACTTAGGTGCATGCTAAATTTAAAATAAACTTAGAGTTTTTTTTTAATTGTAAAATTCTAGGTAAGTTCATTGAAGTCTACTATTTTATTCTATTCTACCCCTACTTTGCTGAGGTCCTAATGTTACCAAAATGCCACGGGTTTGGTCTGGGTCCTGCTATTTGCTGCACAGAAAGCCAATCACTGAGACAACAAGTATTTCCAGGGAAGAAGGCTTTACTTCAGTGCTGCAGCTGAGGAGATGGGAGATCCATCTCAAATTCATCTCCCTGACCTACTAAAATTAGGGGTTTATATAGCAAGGAGAAATGTAACCATGTGTGAGAAAACAGGAATTAGGGAGGGGTAAGTAAGAGAAGTTGGTCAGTAGGAAGCATGTGGTCAGTTACACAATCACGATGGGCAAGGGGTCTGGCATCCCATTATCCAGATGATCGATCTGGTGAATTTCAGTTCCTTGATACTATTTGGGAAGCGTCATGGTTGGTTTCCTGAGAAAGGAACTCAGATAAGACAAATGTGACTCCCTCAAGTTTTAAGACTGGGAAGATCAATTTCTATATTTATTCAAAGGAACCATAAACATCAGTTCTGTGGGACAATTGGGCTGGTTTTACTAAATACAGAGTCAGGCTCTCCCCCAAGAATCTGGCAGAAGAAACTTCTCAATATAGTTTGCTTAAATTTTGGCTAACCTTTACCACCCCCTGCCCCCAGCCCACCCCCTACACACACTTCTTTTAATAAGGAAATGAAGACATTAGTGGTTAAATTATTTAGCTGAAGTTATGTAGCTAGCTATCACAAATCTAGAATCAATTTCTAGATCTCCCAGTAAATATCAGTTTTTGTGGTTTGTTCAAGAACACTAGGCAATGAATTTAGCAAAGGTGTGTGCCTTTTTTATGTCACCTTATGGCACTTAGTATGGTGTCTTTGCATGCTATAAGGACCCAGGACATTTTTGGTGAATAAGATTGAGAGGACATAAATCTTAACTGGAATATAAACTTATATACAGAGAGCTAGTCTAAATATCTGTGCTAACAACCGTCTTACTTACAATTAAGGGTCTAAGAAAGCATTGAGAAGTAATAGGGGAAAGGAAAAGCTGGAGGTGAATGCAAATGCTTGTGTGGCTTTCCTCCAGGGATCTAAATCAAATCCTCATTGTATAATTTGATTTGGTTACTCATTGTTTCTAATTAGAAATAATCACATTTACATGATTTCCCCCTCCTTTTTAGTTTCTCACCAAAATTGCTTTGCTCAATTATGCCACTTTATGGTTTCATATAATTTGTATCTCTTGACTCAACAGTTCCCCACATAATTTGGAATGTGTTTTATTTTTTTAAGAAGTGAAAGTTTGAGAGCTATTCTCAAACTGATCATGAGACTTAAGTAGCTCCAGTAAGCACAGAAGCATGCTAAAAGCAAACTGAGGAATACTTGAAAGTTCAAAACTAGGATGATGCTTATTACTAACTATATGTGAAATTAATTAAAGATTTAATTATTTGAGGAAAAATAAATTGGCAGTTTCTACTTTTTGAGTCATTAAAAACATGTCTATTGCTCTAGGGGTTTTGAGTGCATGTGCAAAAAGTAGACTATGCCAGCTTTGAAGTTGCAAGTTTTTTTTAATAGAAATTCAACTTAAATATATGCTGCAGTCTTAGCTTTTTATCCCAAATATGCCAACTTATTTTCTTCTCTAAAAACTGTTTATATAAATTTATATTTTCACCAAGATGTTTAAATACTATAAAATGATTTTCCTGTTTTTATAAAATCATGGTATTTAGAGTTGTAAAAGACTTTCAGGCTTGTTTATAAATAATGACACTCAGATTGGCAAGTGTGTTATGACCCATAGTTATATAGCTAGCTAAACACAGAAATAACAGGGACACGACAGTTCCATAAGATACTGTTTCTTCTGCTACATGATTTTGAAAACTCTAGGAGAAGGGGGACAGGAAAGGAATGATGACAGTGGACATGTTAAAAGCATTTCCTTTCTTCAATCCTCTGTATTTGTGTGTCTGTGTAATAAAATCTATGTAATTTATCAGACCACTTTTATTTCCTTCTGTCTGAGTTTTCTTTTCAATAGTCCATCTTTAACCAGTAAAACTTTAACAACATGTCATTGCAACAAGTAACCTATTGCACATCTATTGTATATCAATGTCTCTTTTAAGTGCTGGGGCAACAGTGGTATATAATGTACAACATTTGTATTTTAATGAAAAAAGTATTACAGAAGTAATTCTATCAACAATAACATTTCATAGATAAGTGATGAAGACATTAAAACAAAGTAGTGTAATGGAGAGTGGGTTCAGTTCTTGGTGATTTATAAATTGGTGGTCAGTTTGGTATCTCTGGAGAAATAAATTTTTTGTGGGGACCTGGTTGAAAAGATCTGGCATCAACCACAGGAAGATTTTGAGAACCAGTCTTCCAAGAAGGAAGGGTAGCAAGTATCTAATGTGGCATTTGACAAGAATGGGCTTTCCATATTGAGGTCCATGAGGTTCCACATGGTGCCCTACTGCTGTAATAAAGACGGGAAGAGAGCTCCCAGGAAAAGGCAGAGCAGAAGAAGAGAGTGAGGTAATGTAGGGTCTCGTAGGCCATGAAAATGTCTCTGGACTTTACTGTGTGTAATTTTAAAAGCCATTGGTCATAATTTTGTTTATTTGGTTTTTTTACTTAGAGCATAGAATTCAAAGATAATGCCTACAGTCCGGGGTGATATCGGATCTAGAACCAAGAGATGATTCATTCTGCTGGGGGAAAGATGTATAGGTATTTTTTCCTCATAAAAAGATACTAGAAGAATTCTTACTTAGCTGTCTATGCCTAAAACATAATTAATGACATTTACTTGTTTTCAAATTCACATTTTAAATAATATTGAAAGTAAGACACAGGAAAACATTCTTGTGCTGTCTAACAAAATACTAAGAGTTTTCTGTCTGAAATTTTTGCAACATTTTTCTCCAAAATATTTTTATGTAGAGAAAAAGCATCTATAGTCAATATAAACCCCTAAAAACAGAGATAGTTTGGATGAACAATTATCCAAAATGATGATCTGTATTACTTGGTTTCAGTAATCATCCTCAGAGCAGTTTGGGTTATTTCTAGATCCTTTAAAATAATTTGGTTTCTCCTGAACCATGGGTAAATAGGTTCCATGTATCAAAGGAAAAGATAAACAACAGAAGTGTAATGTTATCTTACTTTTTGTGTTTCCGAATTTTAAATTAATTTAAATAACCTACAAATGTAAAATATGATGCAACTAATTTTAATTGGAATTTTACATCCCCAGGTATCAAGCATTGCTATTTCCATGGAACTCTTACACATCATCAATCCACTTAAGTGCCTAAGATAGTTTCTCGTGAATTAGAGATTAAGGATAAAAGCAATACTTACGTGATATCATGCATGTATTTAGTCTTTTCTCACATTGCTATAAATAATTATCTGAGACTCGGTAATTTATAAAGAAAAGAGGTTTAATTGACTCAGTTCTGCAAGCTGTAGAGGATGCATGGCTAGGGAGGTCTTAAGAAACTTACAATCATGGCGGAATACGAAGGGGAATCAGGCACATCTTACATGCCCAGAGAAGGAGGAAGAGAGAGAAGGAAAATGTGCTACACAGTTTTAAACAACCAGATCTCATGAGAACTCACTTATCAGGAGAACAGCAAGGGGAAAGCCCCACCATGATCCAATCACCTCCCACCAGGCCCCTTCAACATTGGGGATTACAATTCAACATGAGATTTGGGTGGGGACATATATCTAAACCATATGAATTCATAAGAGAGCAAAGCAAATGGATTGTGAAGTTTGAAATCAAAAGCCTGTATTTGAGTCTCAGCTCAAAACCCTTTGACCTTGAGCAAGTTCCTCATCCTCTTTGAGACTCTGTTTTCCCAATTGTTAAATGCAGATAACAATGCCCATCTCACATGATATGGGTACTATGAGGTTTAAATTATATAAATGAAGTACTTAGTAGACTAGAATATAATGTTTGTATTATACACTCCTGCTGCATAAGGTTAAAATGTCACTGTATCATTTATTTTAGCATTTGGGATGGAAAACCATATCAAGACATGTGCATCTAGTTTTCCTTTAAACATTTTCTGTTGTCCAGTGATTTTCTTTATCTACTGCACACGAGCACTCAGATATCTGTGGTTTGACAGTTGAGATGTTTAGAGGATTAGTACATTGAATGGCAGGTTGACTTACATTATAGTTCTCTTCCTGTGTAGCTTGCCTTCATGTTCTTAAAATACAATATTTCACAGACAAGATTGATGATGACAATGAAGAAGAAAACTGTTTTCGTATTGTCAAGCTGAACAAACATAACTTCAAAATGAAGTTGGGACTAGGATTCTAATTATTTTATCCTTTCAATGTAAAGAGAGATGTTTTCTTCCAGGATGCAAAAAAGCAAAAATACATTAATCTCCCTAAAGAGAAAAAAAAAGAAGCATTTTAACAGTATTATTCTATGTGAATTACTAAATCACATTTATCTACATCTGGAGGAGCCAAATCTGAATTGACTGATTACTTTTTAAACTAGAATTTGGTTCTGGGTTTAGAACCTTAACTCCAGGTGTTAAAAGCATCTTCTAATTCTTTGATTCACGAAAGTAGACTCTACAGAAAAATTTAGTATTAGATGAGTGGTGGAATTCAAAACATTTAGCATTGTTCTTTATTTTATTTGTTCTCGTTTAATCCTTGGATAAAAATGACATTCATTTTAGTCAAAAGAAACAATTATGCAATGGTATCTAATGAAAAAATGAAAACATTTTCCCCCATTCTTGTTTCCCATCTATCCAATTTCCCTGGCCCATTGGGAGCCACTCTAATTATTTTATATCCTTTCTGAGAATCTTTAGGCTACACAAACAATTATGAATACAGATTCTTCATTTTGTCTTCTTTTCTACTCAAAAGATAGGAAGCCACACACAATAACCTTTACTTTGCCTTTTTTTCTTCTTATATATACCGATAATATAAAGATTCCATTGATGGGTATTATTTGTTTTCAATCTCTTGTTATTAAAAATATTACTCAAATAGCCATGTACAGAGGCCATTTGACACATGTGTACATATATCTCCACTTAAAAATGTGTCTGGAATTTACATGTAATTTTAAAAGCTTTGACCTTAATTTTGTTTATCTTTTTTTTTATATAGACTATAGAATTCAAACTTAATACAATTCAGGGTCATGTCTGATTAAGAATATGTTCATAATAGCATTGTTAGGTCAACTGTTACTTATATTTATAATATCAATAGCTGTTGTCAAATGCCTTATACAGAGATTGAATTGACTTATACGCCTACTTGCTGTATGTGAAAGTGCCTGTTTCCCCTACAGCCTTCTCAGCATAATTTGATATTGAACGTATATTTTTAGCTAGTATGAGAAGCAAAAACTATATAATTTTTATTTGTATTTTCATTTATATTATTATTTATATTTTTCATATTAAGGTTGATCATCTTTGCATATGTTTGAAACCTTTTTACTTTCCTGCAAATTGAGGGTTCACATTATGCATCCATTTCTGTATTGGGTTATTAACGCTTAGCTCATCAATTTTCTAGACATAGAGTTATGTATTATGGGTATTATCTGTCTGTGTTATGGGTTGCAATATATTTTCCTCAAATTTTCATGTGTCTTTTGTTTTTTTGAGACGGGGTCTTGCTCTGTCACCAGGCTGGAGTGCAGTAGGACGATCTCGGATCACTGCAACCTCTGCCTCCCGGGTTCAAGCAATACTCCTGCCTCAGCCTCTTGAGGAGCTAGGACTACAGGCCCCTGTCACCATGCCAGGCTAATTTTTTTTAATTTTTTTTTTTAATTTTTAGTAGAGACGGGGTTTCACCGTGTTGGACAGGCTGGTCTTGAAATCCTGACCTCAAGTGATCTGTGCTCCTTGGCCTCCCAAAGTGCTGGGATTACTTTATCTTTAAAATTAGAGTATAGGCCGGGTGTGATGACTCATGCCTGTAATCCTAGCACTTTGGGAGGCCGAGGTGGGCAGATAGGCTGAGCTCAGGAGTTTGAGACCAGCCTGGGCAACATGGTGAAACCCTGTCTCTACTAAGAGTACAAAAATTAGCTGAGTATGGTGGTGCGTGCCTGTAATCTCAGCTACTTGTGAGGCCTAAGAAGAAAAAATCCCCTGAATCCAGGAAACGGAGATTGCAGTGAGCCGAGATCCTGACACTGCACTCCAGCCTGAGCGACAGAGGGAGACTCTATCTCCCCCCGCCCAAAAAAAAAAATATATATATGTATATGTATATATATGTGTATATATGTGTATCTATGTATATATACGTATATGTATATATATAGAGAGAGAGAGAAAGAGAAATAAAATTAGTGTATAGTTTTTTTACTTCATTGTGATAGCACCACTAATTAATAATCTATCTTTTCCTCACTGAGTTAGTCTTTTTTTACTATGTTAATTTGTTCTTATTTTTGGGTTTTCTTTTATATTTAATTTATCCATGATCCAGTAATATACTGAGTTAATTATTAAGACCTTATCAAAGAGTGCCTGTTTCCTCTCATTTCACTTTTTAAAGTTTACTGGCTATAGTTATTAATTTATTTGTTTATACTTAAAATCATCTTGTTTCATTTTTTAAAATATTTTTATATCTTTATTGAGATCAAGTTAAATTAATAAAGCAACATATGGAGTATTTGCATGTTTATGTGCTATACTTTGCTAGTGAGAACTCAGTGTGTCTTTATTAGTTCTTTTTTTATAACCTTCAGAAGTGCTTTAAAATGTACTTCAAATACGCTGTGTATCATTATTTCCAGTTATTCTTGTGCATTTCTCTTTGGTTTTTGTAACTTTTTTTCTCTAAATCTTTTATCTTGTGTTTGTTGATATTATTTTTTACCTTCTATGTTGTGGTTAATTTGCCTGAAAATGTTGATTTATTTGTATTATTTTTGATAATGAATATGGCATTCCCTTGTTTATAGCATATTTTCAGTTGTGTCCTGGGATTTTTAGGTATTCTATCATGTTTTCTGTAAATACTGAGAGTTGTACCTACTTCTTTCTTTTTTTATGCTTCTGTTGCTTAATCTTGTATAATCATCTTGTCTAACATCTCTAGGATATTATAAAGTAACAGTGATACCGTATTTTGAAGTCTTCTCTTGACTGCTTCTAGAGCTTTCTTTTGAAAAATAACAGCTCTAGCTTTGGGCTGAGACAGATGACATTTTTGTATTATGTAAGTATAGATCAGTCTTGTTTTATTGAATATTTTTAAAATTGTTTTTAAATATCAATACCTTTCAGTTTAAATGGATATAATAAAATGCCTTTTTCTCCTAAGACTTAGTAACATGAATGTGATTAGTATATTTAATAATATTGAACTTTCTTTGAATTCCTTTAATAAAACTCATTTTTTCATGGCATATTTCCCTTAATATGTTACTGAATTCCATGTTGGAGAATTTTATTTGTAAACTTTGCATTGCTATCTATAACTGAGATTAGCATCTAATTTTCAATTTTTGTGTGTTTAATACTTTAGAGCATTATATTCATTTAGTACAAAGGGTTTGAATGTTGTCCTTTTCTTTTTTTTTTTTTTTTTTTTTTTTTTTTTTTTTTTTTTGAGACGGAGTCTCGCTCTGTCGCCCAGGCTGGAGTGCAGTGGCGCGATCTCGGCTCACTGCAAGCTCCGCCTCCCGGGTTCACGCCATTCTCCTGCCTCAGCCTCCCGAGTAGCTGGGACTACAGGCGCCCGCTACCACGCCCGGCTAATTTTTTGTATTTTTAGTAGAGACGGGGTTTCACCGTGTTAGCCAGGATGGTCTCGATCTCCTGACCTCGTGATCCGCCCGCCTCGGCCTGAATGTTGTCCTTTTCTTAATGCTCTAAAAATGTTTTTAAATCTTTGCAATTACCTGCTATTTAATTGTTGGGTAGAATTTCCCTTAAAAACTCTTTGGCAAATGCCACTCTTTCAATGGACATTTTTCTGTTTACTTTTTTTTTCTTTCTGCTCTGAGATCTATTCTGGTAACTTTAATTTCATAGGAAATAAGGCATATTTTTCCAAAAGCTTCAGAGTATTTACTTGTGATTCTTTAACAGGCTCTCTCTCTGGTTACTTCTCCCTAAGTTCTTTCCCTTTTTAAATTTTATTCTTTTCTTTTTGTTATTCGTTATAATTACATAAAATTATAACCATAATAATTTTATATTACCCCTTATAAGCTTAGCTATTCTATATTTACTCCTAATCAACAGGGTTTTCAAATTTGTTTCTTTTCTCTCCTTTTGTAATGTATTAGTTTTTTTATTTTGCTTTATATTGTTGTTTTTTAATGAAGTTTGAGCCTGACATGGTTGATTCATTTGTATCTTTAAAAAATTTTTTTTTCTTTTTTTGAGATGGAGTGTCATTCTGTCGCCCAGGCTGGAGTACAGTGGCGCGACCTCAGCTCACTGCAACTTCTACCTCCCAAGTTCAAGCAATTCTCCTGGGTCAGCCTCCCAAGAATCTGGGATCCACGCATGAGCCACCACACCCGGCTATTTTTTGTATTTTTTATTTTTATTTTTTAGTTTTTAGACAGAGTTTCACTCTTTTGCCCAGGCTGGAGTGAAGTGGCATGATCTCGGCTCACTACAACCTCCACCTTCCAGGTTCAAGCGATTCTCCTGCCTCAGCCTCCTGAGAAGCTGGGAATACAAGCATGTGCCACCACACCTGGCTCAATTTTTTTTTTTTTTTTTTTTTTTTTTTTTTTTGGATTTTTAGTAGAAACAGGGTTTCATCATGTTGGCCAGAGCTGGTCTAGAACTTTTGACCTCAGGTGATCCACCTGCCTCGGCCTCCCAAAGTGCTAGGATTACAGGCGTCAGCCACTGCGCCTGGTCTATTTTTTTGTATTTTTAGTAGAGATGGGGTTTCATCATGTTAGCCAGGCTGGTTTTGAAGTCTTGACCTTTAGTGATCCAGCTGCCTCAGCCTCCCAATTAAAATTTTTATAATTATGTAAGGCAATGAATTTTCCTCATAGCACTTTTATACATAAATAATGTTTACATTATCATTGTTCTGTAGCAATTCTGATTTTTTTATTGATATGCATGTTTTAAAAAGGACCCTTGTTCATTTACAGAGAATGATTTTTTGTTTCTATCTTCGTTATTGAAATTCTAGTTTATTACATTGAAAACAGACAAAATTTGTCATGCTTTTTCTGTTTCAGCACTAATTAAAATTTTCTCTCCAAGTATATGGTCATTTCTTTGGTGAATGTTCCATGAGCACTACTGTGGGAATTCATTAGTATCCTGTATTACCACACCCTACTACTAGTGCATTTCTATTTCTTCTTACATTTTCTATAATTATGATGTGTGAGTGTTAAGGTTGATATAAGTTATGCATTTTAGCATTATAAAGCACCCCTGCTTGTTTTACATAATATTACTTTATTTATAAACATTGTTCTGATATTGAGAGTGCAATCCATGTTTTCTTCTTATTTTGTTTTCCTGTTATAATTCTGCACATCCTTTTAATTTCATACTCCCCGAAGTACTTTGTTCAGGTGTATCTATTGCACATGGTATAGAGTTAGATTTTGCTTTGTTAATGTGATATGAAAATCTTTGTTTTATAATTGGTAACTTAGACTCTGAAGTTTGTAATAGCTATATTCATATTATCCTAAAAACAAATACAAGATTTCCGAATCAAGGTGTATTAGTAATACTTACAGCAAAAAACACACCAGCAGTTCCTGTGAACCCGATCTTTCTTCCTACTCAAATTGTTCATTATCTTTCCCTTATTCACTCTCTTTTGTTGTTGTTGCTAGTAATGGGCATATACCTTAAATTCTAATATTTCATGATCATCCATACATCTATTTTAAACTTAATTCTGCAGTTAAAATAGTCAATGCCACTAATCCTTTTGGCTAGGATTTCTCCAATAATCTCTTGTTTGGCTAGAGTTCATCTAATAGTTTCCTTTGTTTTTCTAAATAAGGACTCATAAGAAACATATACTGAAGTCCTCTATATTTAAAATTACTTTTCTATAGACTATTTACAAGGGGGACACCGTCGTTGAATAAATAATCTTTAGATGTCCTCTTTTAGTCTTTAAATTCTAATAGGTGTTACTCTATTTCCATCCATTTTGTTTATTATTTTCTATGGTCCCGTTTTTGAATGTTGCTATAGAAAATTTGATGCCAGTCTAGGGGTGCAGCCCCCGCCCGGCCAGCCACCCCGTCCGGGAGGGAGGTAGGGGGGTGCCTCCGCCCGGCCACCGCCCCCGTCTGGGAGGTGGGGGGCGCCTCTGCCCGGCCGCCCCGTCTGGGAAGTGAGGAGCCCCTCTGCCCGGCCGCCACCCCGTCTGAAAGGTGTACCCAACAGCTCATTGAGAACAGGCCATGATGACGATGGCGGTTTTGTCTAATAGAAAAGGTGGAAATGTGGGGAAAAGAAAGAGAGTTCAGATTGTTGCTGTGTCTGTGTAGAAAGAAGTAGACATGGGCGACTCCATTTTGTTCTGTACTAAGAAAAATTCTTCTGCCTTGGGATGCTGTTAATCTATAACCTTACCCCCAACGCCGTGCTCTCTGAAACATGTGCTGTGTCCACTCAGGGTTAAATGGATTAAGGGCGGTGCAAGATGTGCTTTGTTAAACAGATGCTTGAAGGCAGCATGCTCCTTAAGAGTCATCACCACTCCCTAATCTCAAGTACCCAGGGACACAAACACTGCGGAAGGCCGCAGGGTCCTCTGCCTAGGAAAACCAGAGACCCTTGTTCACATGTTTATCTGCTGACCTTCCCTCCACTATTGTCCTATGACCCTGCCAAATCCCCCTCTCCGAGAAACACCCAAGAATGATCAATAAATACTAAAAAAAAATAAATAAATAAATAAAAATAAGGTTCTCTAAATGACTGCTAAATTAGTAGGACTAATCTTCATAGTGATTTAGAATTGGTCCCATTAGTTTGAGATTGAAAATTTTCTCTAGCTGTTTACAAGATAGTTCTTATATACTTAAGGTAAAATTTCCTTATGTCCTGTTATTATATTCCTTGCAATCTGAAGTAAGACTGAAATAATTGTAATAAATCAAAGTTCATCTCTACCCACCCTCAAGCCTCTTATCTAATTATAAATGGAAGCATGGAACTTGTATTTGAATTCCAATTATTGAAATAATTGTTACTAAAAATTTTCCCAAGGCAAAAAAAAAAAAAAGAAAAAAAAAAAGAAAATTTGATGCCAGTCTAAAGATTTAATGAAAGATTTTGTCTTTTTGTGGATCTATTTGCTATTTATCATTGAGATCCAGTATCTTAGTAGGATATCTCCCATGTTGACTACTCTGGGTCAGCTTTTCCTGGTGTTTGGTGTGCCTTTTAATTAGCTAGATTCAGGTATTGATTTATTCAGCAGTATGTCTTTGAACTATATCTTAATGATTTTTTTTTCCTTCCCGTTCAAATATTTGGTTTACTTTTATTGAGGAGCCAGTTAAGAACATCGTATAACTCCTTTGCCTGATATTTATAATGATCTTTCTTTCACTCTATTTTTAGTTTTTTAAGTGTACTTATTTGATTGCTCTGGTAATTCCCATCTACTGCATCCCTAACTGAATTTTTTGCAGTGTCTGCACTTTGTTATGTCTCTCTCCATTTCTTCCCTGGGTTCTGGCAGTTCAATTTTTATTTATTTATTTATTTATTTATTTATTTATTTATTTATTTATTTATTTATTTATTTTATATCTGTTTCCTCCTGTATATGTGCTGTGTGGTTTTCCTTCATAGAAACAAGTGCCTCATACCCATTCTCCTAATTCTCAGAGAAATGTTTGGACAGAATTGTCATCTGTTCTGTGGCAGCACTTTTCCTTCCAAAACTCTGGCAACTTTTCTTGCTTTCCCGCCTTTTGTTTTTATATCTTTGTGTGTATTCTCTGTTCGCTCTCTTTTTATTACTTCTTGGGATTTGTTAGATTTTCCTGGCCCAGCTTTTTACAGAAACCATCCCCACCCACTCTGAGTGTGGTGTTTTTTGTTTGTTTGTTTGTTTTGGTTTAGTTTTAGATCAATTCTTTAAGCACCTTTATTAGAGTTGCCTATATGGCTTATATTCCATGGACTGCAATGCCAGTCGCTCCAGTTCTCACAGCTTTTGTTTGATGCAAGGTCTTCGGGGATTATACCTTCAGAACAAGCCCCTTCCATCTAGAAGGTGCTTTTTGGCCTGCAGTTTTGAAATCTACTGATAGAGATTTTGGAATCTCTTCACTTTTCTCTCTAGAGTTGCTGCTGTAGTTCACCTTAAATTATGTCTATGCAAATCTTATCTTGTGTAGCCTTTATATTTTTTATGCTTTTTATCTTCCACAGGCCATAATTATTTTTTTAATTAACCTAACATAGAGTTTAAAAGTAATTTTTTCATTCACATTGTTGTGTTTTACATTTGCTCAATTACGCTACTGACTATGAATCCCAGAATCTCAAAGGCTTAATACAGTAACATTTACTTATGTTTCAAATAACAGTATGTTGATGTCATTGCTGGTTAGGAGGCCCTACTGGGCCACTGTCCTGCAATTAGTGAAACAGCAGCCCAGGATTTTTCCATATTAGGGCTCTACTCTTTTAAATGTAACTGCCAGTGTCACTTTGTGGGTTAGTCTCTATTCCTTCCAGCTGAAGAGGGAAAAAAGAAAAAGAAATATTAAAAATACAACTCATAGGAAGGGTATATATAATTCATTTCATTGACTGGTATAGAGTCATACAGTGTCACTGCCCTGCAAAGACTGGAATATAGGCTAGTCATATGCTAGGAAGAGGACATGGGTTTGGTGATCAAATAACTTATTCTTCCAAAGTAGGATTCCAGGGGAGAAGTTGCTTGAGGTTTCATGCTGCCATAGACATGTTAAAAATTGTTTCTAATGTTTTTTCTTGTTTTGATATTCTACGATGGAGCCTAAGAAATGGTAGGCATTCAGTAAATATATGGTAAATGGGTGAATAAATGAATGACTAAATAGACAGATGGTTGCTTGTTTTATTGAAGGAGTAATTGATGAAAAAGTATATGGCTGGATCAGAAATGGCATGTAAAAAAGATAGGCAAATTGACAGACCTATTTGTCATACAATGTAGCATATTCTTTTCTACTTTAACTTCATCATTGCCCTGATTTTCATATATATGTATATACATTTGTTTTTTATTCTGATTAAAACAAGTTTCCACATGCAATATGATAAAGTTAATAGGAAACAGCTTCCAAATGCAATGTTTGGTTGGATTTAGGCAAGACTTTTTCAAAGTATAAACATGAAATTGTTTTTTAAATTGGTGATGAAATAATAAAGGGTATGAAAAGTCCAAAGTATTTATTTTGCTTTTATCTAGTATGTAGTGAGGAAACATATAAAAATATGAACTAGAAGCAACTTGCAGAAGGCCTCTAAAAATGTTCCAATGTTAAACGTTCATCCAGACTTTGAATAGATATGCTTTGAAGCCTATAAAGCTTCTATTTAAGGCTTACAAGTATTGCTCAGTATGACAGGCAGAAGGATATTCCCCCAAGATGTCACCTCCTAACCCCCAGAACCGGTGAATATGTTACATTACATGGCAAAGGAGGATTAAGGCAGCAGATTAAATTAAGGTTTCTAATCATCTGAATTTTAAAAAGGGAGATTAAACTGGATTATCCAGGTGGACCCCGTATAGTCAGAAGAGTCTTTACACGTGGAGAAGGGAGGAAGGGAGGAAGGGAGGAGAGTCGGTGTCAGGGTGATGTGATGTGAAAAAGACTCAACTGGCCATCGCTGGCTTTGAAGATGAAGGAAAGGAGTTCCAAGCCAACATGGGTGGCCCCTAGAAGCTGAAAATAACAAGAAAAGACATTCCTCCTTAGAACCTCCAGAAAGGAATGCAGCCTTACTGACACTTTCGTTTTGGCCCAGTAGGACCCTTTTGGGACTTCTGACATCCATACCTATAGGATAATGAATTTGTGTTGTTTTAAGCTACTAAGTTTGTGATAATTTGTTACTGCAGCCATAGGAAAGAAAAACACTCTGGAAACTCAAATGTTTCTAGGCTACAAGCTTCATACTTTTCCCAACTTATGCACAACAGTATCATTGATCAACATGAGACTGGTAGTCTGAAAGTTCAAAGATATAATTCAGTTATGTGATCAGATTTGTTGTTTTATCGGCTTATTGGCCCTGACCAAATTATATGACTTTGCTGCCATACCCAGCAGCGGGTACTTTATGGGACCCTTTGAAAAAAAACCAGTTTATACAAGATGCCAAGATAAATCTTAGCTAATAACAAACCTGTATGGTCACATTGATGAGGTAAAAGAGAAATAGGAAACAGCTTCCAAATGCAATGTTTGGTTGGATTTAGGCAAGACTTTTTCAAAGTATAAACATGAAATTGTTTTTTAAATTGGTGATGAAATAATAAAGGGTATGAAAAGTCCAAAGTATTTATTTTGCTTTTGTCTAGTATGTAATAAGGATTACATATCTAGTATGTAATGAATATTAGCCAAGATAATTCTTGGCTAATAACAAACTTGTATGGTCACATTGATGAGGTAAAAGAGAAATTATGTTTTGAGAGTCAGTTTAATGCTAACCTCTTAATGATTTAGCATTTGTGTAAATCTCAAGTATATATATATATATATTTATTTATTTATTTATTTTCCTCTGATTTTTTAAAAACAATATCTCTTCCCTGAAAGTGTACATTGCACATTTTATTATGATAGGAAAGACAAATAAACTAATAAAAAATAGAATAGGCTGGGGAACAAACATACTTGTGAACTTTTTAAATAGAAATACACAAAGAAAATACTCAGAATAAAATTATCTCTACTGGGCAAACATAAAAAGGACCATAACTTTTATGGGTCTTTCCAAAGAAGTGAACTCTGGCTTAATAACTTAATCATGATCTAGATTTTCCTATTGGCATTAAGAAGTAGAGAGGTTGCTGGTTGGAAACATAAAATGAGCTGAAACATCACAATGGGTATGAAGTATCTTTCTGATAATTTTACTAATTAAATTGTTACAGGAAAGTTGCAAAGCTGCGTATGCCCCATGGGAAGGTTTATTGCTTTTCTGAAGTATTCCAACAAGAAACCAAACTATGAGCACGTATAAAATGACATTATGTGTAAGGCCCAAAGTTAGATTAGCCGAGTTGTTTTGAAGAGGCATCAGATAATTGATCAGGAAGTAAAACTGTGATTATATAATAAAATCACAGTTGAATTATAGCAAATAATTGCAAAAATAATTAAAGTCACAAATCCTCCCAGTAACAATATGAAACAATTCTCTTTAGTACCCCACAGGGATGGAACTTGCTAGCTTTGATTGGGATTAAACCTGGAGGTGTAAAAGAAAAGGAAAAGTGTAGTCTGGAAAAAAATCGTATTGAGAACATATCATCCAAAGGAAAAAAAGTTCCTGAGAAGTGAATTTGGAAGTTGTGTAATTTCCATTTCAAAGGATGCAATTTGTTATAGTTCCTTTAATGATTTTAAAAGGAGACAACATCAGCATGGGCTTTCATATATAGGCAGATTCCCAGGTCTCAGTTTATTTCGTTTTCTGCTATGGTCAAATAGAGCGAACTTGTTTCATATCTCTAATTGAAAGACTAGGAACTTAATTAAGAAGAAAAATTTACTTCCAGAAGAATTATGGAGATGATTCTTATAAGCACATTTTGATTCTGGAGGCATAAAATAACTGTCCTTTTGCTTTTACTATTTGTATACCACACATACAATGTAATGTAATATCTACTACTGGATGAAACCCTCGAAGTAGAATGAATAATTTCTGAAAATATGCCTTCCATCTTAAAAAAAATCAAGTAATAAAAATGCAACCTGAAACACACAACACATTGCTTATATTCCAGTTGGCCTTTGTGTTATCCACTCAATCTTTCTTTTGATGTATATGTTATGATCCGAGTGTAAATATCTACCTGATCTGTGATCTCTCAGGTTTCTTTGAAATTGAATACATAGGAATGCTCAAGCAAGAAAGATACCATGAAAAAGCCTTAAAAGAAAAAATAATGATATGAAATCTGCTCCGGAATTTAAAGCACCTAGTTACAAACAACAAACTCAATCTCAGTTTTTAAAAGTTCCAGTGTTTTAAATCCAGTTATTTTGTTATTTCTAAATTGTTTACTGAGCCTCTACCTACCATATTGTTTGCACTGTGGGGACATTTTATATTGAAGAAATTGATAATTATATAGTCAAGAAAATCCTCCACCAGAGTAACACATTGAAATAATAAAACAAGGTTTTATATAGTTACAAAAATAAATATATTATAAAAATTACTCAACTTGATGTTCAGCTTCAAATTAAAATATCTTCTCTAATTGGGTAGACTCTACTAATAAATCTAAGTAGAGCCATTAAAAATTGTAGCTAGATATAATCTCTATATTTAATGAATATTCAGCATTTTCTATGTCTAGACACTGTCATGAGATTAGGCTAAAATGATGAACAAGTGAAAAAAAAATAGATATAGTTTCCACTCTCTCAAAGTTGTACAGTAGTGGGGATTTATACAAGAAATCAGGTAATGACAATACAATGTGATAAATATATGAAGTACTTCAGTGGCCACAGGATGTCGGTAACTCCAGCTTTGATAGTCAGGAATGAAGGATGAGTAGAAACTTACTAAATAGAGACAAGTAGCTAAAAATCTTCTGGCAGGGGAAATAGTGAACAACCAAAGTTCAAAGACGGAGAAATAGAAAATGGGAGAGGAGAAGGAGAGGACAAGAAACATAGGGGAGAGAATGAGTATCAATGGCCTGTTGGATAAATGAAAGAAAGGTATTATGTTGGAGTCTAAGAAGGATTGTAAAAGAAATGATGCTGAAAGAAAAAGCAAGAATTATGTCATGAGTAACACACACAGTACTTTGTTTATTCATTCTATCCAGGACAAAAGCATTTCCAAATGGCTGACAACCTGCCTGAAATTCACATGTACAGAAAAAGACTAATCATTCCACTACTTTTTTTTTTTTCTTGAAACAGAGTTAGTCGATCCTTAGAAAAATACTGTAGGAAGGATGAAAGAGTGACGCAACAAAAGCAGTGGGCATCGCCTCCTGGTCACATCTACTCAAAAATAAGAGCTCTTTATGATGCTGCACCTCAAAAATAAGAGCTCTTTATGATGCTGCACCGAAGATTTGGTCTCCAGGATGGCCACATCACACCTTCCTGAGATCTTCCTCTTTTTACTCATTTCTGCAACAAAAGTTATGCGCTTGCCTCTATGAGCAACTCTTAGTTTACATGCTATTTATAGACAGGTTTTGTTTGAACCATATAGTAATTGTTTTTTGTTTTTGTTTTTGCAGCCAGAAATTCAAAGTTGTAAACTTATCATTTAAAAATTTAGATTCCCAGTTTCTTCTAAGAAACATGAAGCTTCATGGCAGAAACTGGCTGGAGTAGAGCAATGGTACTCTTCCCAAGTAGGGCACACACTGCTTTGCTGCAGTGGTCAACACTCTTTCCTATACCTAATCTCTGTAGATATTGGACGTTTTGACCCATGGTGTAACTTTGGCCATTTATCTTCCTACTGGTTTACTTTAGGTCTTAGCCTCATCTTCAGGGTTGCTGGATTGGTAGCTTCTTTCTCTCTACCTGGGACCACATTTCAATCTTTGGCTACATTTCTACCACTCTTTTTTAGATTTGAATCCAAAGTCTTCTTCTGATAATATCGCTCCAGTGGAAAGGCCTTCCTGCAGTCTATTACTATCTGTAGAAAGTCAAATAATAGCACTCTTCTGCCAAAAAATTTCTAAGAGCTGTCCCTTTCACTCAGAGTGAGAGCCAAATCCCTACTACTGACCTATAAGTTACTAACCTTTCCAAACATGTCACCAATGACACCCCCCTCACCCTGCTCCAGCTCCAGCTGGCTGCTCCTCAACTGTGCCAGAGATGATCCCAACTCAGAGCGTTTTCTCAAGCTGGGACACTGCTTCCCATTCAGCTTTGTTCACATCCACATTTTCAAGGAGGCCTGCCCTGACGACCCTATCTAAAAGAACGGCTTGCCCTCTCTCACCTGGCACTCCTGTCTCCTGATTCTGACCCACTTTTATGATTGTTGTCATTATTATAGCACTCATTGCTTTCAAACCATATGCTTTGTAGATTTGTTCTGTTTGGTGTGCGTCTTCACTAGGATATATGCTCCTTGAGAGCAAGAATCAGTGTGTTTTGTTCATTGATCTTCCCCTGAGAACCTAGAGCAGTAACTAAATATTAGTTGAATAAAAAATGAATGGGTAACACATGATAGAAATAAAACTGTAAGAACTTTATCAAATTCCATCCCACTGTCTATTCATAATATCTCCCACATTTGCTTTCAGGAGGAAGTTTTGTTGGGGAAGAACAATGTCTTTATCATCACCATAAAATAAATTTTTAAAAAATTCATGCTAGTTTATACATTCTTTGTAAGCCTCAAGTTTCTAATCTGGCAAAAAAGTTAAAAAGTGTATTAATACCTTTAAGACTTGTTGTGGAGATGTGAAGGAGTAAATAATTACAGACTTTCCTCAGTTAGGTTGGAAGGTAATTGCTATTTTTGCGAACCCGAAAATAATAGTTTCACCAGCCTAAAAATAATAGTTACTACTAACAAAAATAATACAAGTAAGAAAAGCTCACATTTACTGAACATATGCTATGCATCAGGCACTATGCTAATCACTTTATAAATATTGCCTCGTTTAATCTCATTGAACTCTTATAACAACCTTAAGATACATGACAAATTATTATGCCTATATTTCAGATGAAGAAGCCAAGGTTTGAAGCAGCCATTGACAGAGCCACTGCTTGAACTGTTTTTTTTTTAATCTAAATTATTTGAAACACTGTTCTTCTGTATTATATTATCAGACAGTGTTGTCATTGTTTCTTACAGACTCAAGCACACCTGTGTCTTTTTGTCTTTTCCTAAACTCCTACTTTCCACTGGCTAATGCATACCTCCCCAACCAAGCCCATAATAGGTGGTTATGGAACAGCTCTCTATTGAGGAAGGGCTGAGAGCTGTTGGTTTGGCACAGAGATAACCAAAGAGTGAAGTGCCTACTAGACCAGGAAGACTATATCAGAAAACATTCAGTGGTTTAACACATGTCAAAATTATAACACCCAGGTTGAAACGAAAGGAGGAAGCCCCCACATCCTAGGAAAAAAAAGAAAGACTGTTCTTTGAAATAAAACTTTTTTTTTTCCCCTTCAGCAAGAGCACCTCTTCTGAGCTGACCCCATGGAATGCTAGTTCACTTTACATAAAATATTCTTATTCTGTACTTACATATTTTAGTGGGAAAAAAGCAAATGGGAGATTATCATCTGTCCAGATTTTGGGCTTGGCATTATTTCTGACAACTCGCAATGAGCTGGAATTGCTGTTCCCTCTACTCAGTTGCATAGTTATGTGCTAAAACAAAAAGACAAAAAGCAAAAAATGCTATTTGGGCAGTAGTAGTCCTCCAAACCCAGCATTTTTTTTTAAAGCCTGTATTTTCCAAATGATATTCCAACAATCATAGTAATTTAGCATGTTGTGTTCTTGATTCTGGTGGGCAGACAGTGATTATGTAAGAAAATAAGGTATATTGTGCTGTTTGATATTGCACTTCAGCACAGGAACACCACCAGCTGACAGTAATCAGGCAAGGAAGACCAATTAGGCAGAAATTGCCCAAAATGTGCCTGAGCTTAACGAAGGTAGAAAGGTGAAGATCACTTGTGGTTTGGTCAGCACACCAGGAGTCTGGAATACAAAATGTACAACTTAGAAAGAAGGAAGTGTTAGTCAGCCCTGCATTTTAAATGATCACTTTGAAATTTAAGGAGAGACGCTTGTTATGTGGGAGTCTGGGAGACAGGTCCCGCTATCGGGGACTCTCACAGCATGTATGGTTTGCCACATCTGAGTCATTGGACCTAGTGGCACGTAATGAAGAAACAGGCTATGTTCTCTGAGGTTATTGCTATTTCTTAGGAAAATGTATTAAACAGGTTGAGAGGAATGTTATTGCTCTGTATAAAGCCAGATGATTCAGAAAGCGAGTCCAGGGAATGGGGGCATTGTTTGTTTCTGAAAGTGACTCAATAAGGAAAAAGTTACCTTAAAAAATTGAACAATATCAGAAAGTATAGATTGGAAAGACAGGTGATGACAGTAATACCTCTCTCTTTATAGCCCTTTGCTACCCAAACAGAACTTAGAGATAAATCACCTCAGTTGCCTAATGAGATGATATAATGAGTTGGAAGACTTTGGAATCACAGGCGAAGGTATTTATTAGACTTAACTACCTGAGAGACGTACTATTAAAAATCTCTGACTCTTTGTTTTCCTATCTTAACAATGGGGATAATACACCAGACTCATGGCTCCTTGAAGTAAGAAATTAACAAGATGATATTTAAAAGAGGTAAGGCTGAGCCTGATACATAGAATGTGTTCAATAAATGTTGGCAGTTTTTTTTTTTTCTTTTTGCTCTCATGGCTCATAAAAGAATAAATGGTCTGGATTCAGGACATAGGCATGGGCAAGGACTTCATGACTAAAACACCAAAAGCAATGGCAACAAAAGCCTAAATAGACAAATGACATCTAATTAAACTAAAGAGCTCCTGCACAGCAAAAGAAACTACCATCAGAGTGAATAGGCAACCTACAGAATGGGAGAAAATTTTTGCAATCTACCCATCTGGCAAAGGGCTGATATCCAGAATCTACAAAGAACTTAAACAAATTTACAAGAAAAAAACAACCCCATCAAAAAGTGGACAAAGGATATGAACAGACACTTCTCAAAAGAAGACATTTATGCAGCCAACAGACACATGAAAAAATGCTCACCATCACTGGTCATCAGAGAAATGCAACTCAAAACCACAGTGAGATACCATCTTATGCCAATTAGAATGGCGATCTTTAAACAGTCAGGAAACAACAGATGCTGGCGAGGATGTGGGGAAATAGGAACGCTTTTACAGTGTTGGTGGGAGTGTAAATTAGTTCAACCACTGTGGAAGACAGTGTGGTGTTTCTCAAGGATCTAGAACTAGAAATACCATTTGACCCAGTGATTCCATTTCTGGGTATACACCCAAAGGATTATAAATCATGCTACTATAAAGACACATGCACATGTATGTTTATTGAGGCACTATTCACAATAGCAAAGGCTTGGAACCAACCCAAATGTCCATCAATGATAACTGGATAAAGAAAATGTGGCACATATACACCATTGAATACTATGCAGCCATAAAAAAGGATGAGTTCATGTCCTTTGCAGGGACATGGATGAAGCTGGAAACCATCACTCTCAGCAGACTATCATCACACGGACAGAAAACCAAACACTGCATGTTCTCACTCATAGGTGGGAGCTGAACAACGAGAACTCTTGGACACAGGGTGGGGAATATCACATACCAGGGCCTGTTGGGGGTTGGGGGGCTGGGGAAGGGATAGCATTAGGAGATATACCTAATGTAAATGACGAAGTGATGGGTGCAGCAAACCAACATGTCACATATATACCTATATAACAAACCTGCACGTTGTGCACATGTACCCTAGAACATAAAGTATAATTAATAAGTGGTCTGGTGTTAATTATTTTCAAGTCAAGGTAATAAAGTTCAAGCTAGAAGAAATAGGAAAATGTTGTAAAGAAAAGTTGATTACGTTTTGCCTGTTTATTATAAAGCATTTAACTTTTAGTATATCTTCAAATAACTTCTACTTGATTTGCACAGTTTTCTTAAATTGTAATAAGTATTTTTATAATTGAAAACTATTTTTATAATTTAAGAAAAGTATTTTTATAATCATGTATTTTACATATTGTACCTTTAAATGTTTTTCCAATAGTAACATAAACCCACATTTCTTCCACTATCATTTAGAATAATATTATAAACCCATTGTCCTCAAATAATTATACCTTTTATTGTTTCCTTACCTACCCCACTTTCTTCTTTTCTATGTTTTATCTTTCTATCCTCTTTCCCATTGACTCTTGTATCATCATTAGTTTCTACACTACTTATAGCAACTTTGGTTCATATAATTCCAAAAAATATTTAATCTATTATTTCTATTTATCTTAGGATTGTTATATGCAACATAGTAAAAATCAAGAAATGTTAACTGTCATTGTTATTATCTCTATGCTTTTATTTTTAAATCTCTGTTTATTAGTTATCCATTGCTGCATACTAAATTACCCTAAAACATATGGCTTAAAGCAATAAATATCTATTAGTTCACATTTGTTGGTAATAGCTCTATGTCATAGCTCAATGCCTCTGGCTTGTCATAGCTTGATGCCTCTGGCTTAAGGTCTCTCCTAAAGCTGTGCTTACACTGTCAGCTGGGGCTGTGGTCTCATCTGAAGGTTTGATTAGGGGTGGGAGAATCTGCTCCCAAGCTGATGAATGCGGTTATTGGCTGGTTTTATTCTCTTGCTGCATGAGCCTCTCCACAGGGATAGGTCACAGCATGGCAATTACCTTCTCTCAGGGAAAGAGTCCAAGAGAGAGAGTAAGAGAGGGCACACAAAGCAGAATTCATAGTCTGTGACTTAATCTTAGAAGTGTCATTCCATCACTTCTGCCATATTCTATTTGCAGAAGTGAGGCAATACGTTTAACAGGCACTTAAGAGGAAAGAATTACCTAAGGGCATGAGTATCATAAGGCAGTGATCATTGGGAGTCCTCTTAGAGAATGTCTGTCATCTAAAATTTCTTTCTGATGTTTATAGACTGCCTTAATTCAGGCTTTCAATGTCATTTGACATTCACCACTCCTTAAGATTTCCCTCTTAACTCTGTGTAAGCCACCATCACTAGCAAATATTTATATTTTAGGTGTTTGTCTGTTAAAGTAAGTCTCTGGGGTGGGTGGTGGGGAAGGTTTCTATTGTCTTCAGAATAAATACTTTTAACCCTTGAGACACAGTTGAAGCTCTTCAAAAATCTACTCCTTGCCTTCCTTTCCAGTTTTTTGTCCCTATCAACATCTCTAGTCCCTGTCCCCAAAATTGTCCTAGGGAACAATAATTAGATCAGGAATCAACACTGGCTCATAAAATTCCTTTATACATTCCTGTGCTCAGATTGGACCATCTGAAATGTATAGTCAGAAAAATCCTGATATTCTTCTGAAGAAATGTTGCCAAACAGTTCCTCAAATCTTGGTACGTGAGTCACACTTCAAGTGTACATAGAAATCACCTCCCTGGACATCACTGCTATTTCACAAAGCTCAACAAGTCAAACCTTCAAAACAATGCATGCGTCTTTAAAAATGTGCTTGACATTTTCCCAAATTTTCTCCTTGTCTTTTCTTGTACAATGTGCTCTTTCTCTAACCTAAGAATTGCACAATTAGCATGCAGTATTCCCTAGTATCAATCCTTTTGACTAATTAAGAAGAGAAACATTGAGAGACTATCCTCAGATCACATCACCAGGGAGGGAGAGAGCCAGAACCACAAATAATCTATGCATGTGTCAGATTCTCTTCACCATACAACACTGTCTTTCTTATGTTCTTACAGACAGCAGCCTATAAAATAGCATGCTAGAATTTGGATTGATGTTCCATTTCTCCTCCAACAGTTTTTTTTGTTTTTTGGTTTTTTTTTTTTAGAAATCAGAGTACAAATAGAAAAAATCATAAGCATGTCATTTGCTTTTATTAAAAAAGGATGTCCCAAATCAGGAAATGTGACTGAAGAGTTATGTTTGAAATTATAAAGGCTCTGAAATTAACCATGAATTTAACACTTGCTGAATTTAACTATTAATTTAGCATGTAATACATTTTTAATAAAAGCAAAAGTGTTTAAAAAGGAGGTAAAATTCTACTCATGTCTATACATGCAAAAGAGCAGATTGAATAATAAATATATTTATTCTGTAAATTTTAAATGTTGTGGGGAATAATCCCTGTAAAATAGTTTATCTGTAGTAGGAGAGTCACATTGTATCACAAATGTTTTTAATAAATGATGGCATACCTGAAGGTTGTCTATTTTTAAAATCAACCGTTGTTTCCAGTATCAACCAGTACTTTCAGATAATGCCATTAGAAAATAATTTTATTTACTTCAGCCAACATATGAATACCTTCAGACAGAATTGGAGACATTTTTAAAAATGATCTATGCCATTTCTTTCCTGCTGCAAATATTGTCCTCTTGACAGTCTTTAGCAGTGTGTAGGTGTGAATGTGGGTGTGCATATGAATGAACAGAAGCGAAGCTATAGGTAAATCAGCATGTGAAAATATTGTTTTAATAAAAGGAAATATTTTTGTCTATTGAACAGGCCAGAAAAGAACTATCAACATAAGATGGTTAAAATGTAATGACGTGCAGAGATATCTCAGGGGGAGTACGTACAGTTTTATCTCTCTGTCTCCAGGGGAGTATATGTAAACTAAGCATAAATATTTTTATGTGTGGCAGATTTTTAAAGCTAATTGTTAGTAAACCATGGCTCCATGAAAAACCTCTAAGGCGCAATAAACTGCTTCAGTATTAAGATCGTTGTAAAATAAAATTCGGCAAGTGTATATAATGTATTCAAAGGGAATTGATGAAAAGTATAGTACCAATAGCATGCAATATTCAGTTTGATATGAAAATATTTTAAAAGCACAATATAGGGCCAAAACTTGGAACAAAAAAAAAAAAATGTTCAACTGAAAATAAAATCATGTAATGGCCATTCATACAAGAGGATAAATGAAGCTTTGCCAGTTAAACAAATATAAATATATGTATATATGTTTTTAGGAATAATGAGGGCAAGATCTTAATTAGCTTAACAGGGTTAGGACTGAGTTTTAATGTATTAGGAAAAGAGTTAAAGTATCTGGATAAGGGCCGGGC
Source organism: Homo sapiens (assembly GCF_000001405.40). Taxonomy (NCBI): domain Eukaryota; kingdom Metazoa; phylum Chordata; class Mammalia; order Primates; family Hominidae; genus Homo; species Homo sapiens. The sequence continues at coordinate 165,934,196 of NC_000005.10, forward strand.
ATGGTGGCTCACACCTGTAATCCCAGCACTTTGTGGGGCCAAGGCGGTCAGGTCACCTGAGGTCAGGAGTTCAAGAACAGCCTGGCCAACGTGGTGAAACTCCGTTTCTACCAAAAATATAAAAATTAGCCAGGCGCGGTGGCATGTGCCTGTAATTCCAGCTACTTGGGAGTCGGGTGTGGTCACATGCCTGTAATTCCAGCTACTGGAATTACATAAGCTACTGGAGGCATAAGAATTGCTTGAACCTAGGAGGCAGAGGTTGCAGTGAGCGGAGATCATGCCACTGCACTCCAGCCTGAGCGACAGAGTGAGACTCCATCTCAAAGCAAAAAAAAAAAAAAAAAAAAAAAGGATCTGGGTAACATAGTCTCCCATCTCATAAGGCACCAAAAATAATAACCTACATTTGCTTAGGTTGGAAGTCATTTTGCTGGCAAACAACTGCTCTGAAAAAGGAAAACATAGGTATAAACCTAATTTCAATGATTTTTATTAAAAATCTGAAAATTAGACATTGCTAAATGTCACACAAAGAAAAATATAACCCCAGTATTTACTGGATGATACTCAGAAGCCTCAACAGTATATTTTCAAAATCATCGTAGAGTATACTTCACTAGCTAAAGCTAGTATTCAAACTGATACATAAGAAATAAATTATATTAATTGTTACTTTTAAAAATGAACTACATTTATACAGGAATGACTTTTTCACTCTGCCTCAGTAGCCTTTTATAAATTCAAATTGCATATAAAATTATAAATTTCTAAAATATAAACAATTAGCTGCATCTTAGGACTTTTAACGCATTTTTCTCTGGATATAAAACAAATATCTCCACACAGTTGAAGATGGAAGTTCAGTTGACTAATGTTTGTAGTAGATGGTATTAATATATTACTTAAATAAATGTTGTAAAGTTTGCAGTTGAAAATAAAATAAATGGAATGACACCCCAACAACAACACAAGATCTAGTTGTTTTGTAGAAATTCCTTTGCTAAAGGGTTCAGGGGTAGAATATGAAATTTAATGAGTGTAAATGTCAAGTCATGCATGTGCAGGGAGAGGAGCGAGCTAAGTTCAATTTAAATGGCAGTGAATTAGTTAACGGGGGTGAAGAGATAAGGATAAATAACTAGATCCAACATTTGAATTCTCATTGCATTATACAGGAACCAAGAAAGCTAATAAGAAGCTGACTTTTACCAAGACCAATATATTATCCCAAGGATATTGTGCTATTTTGCTTCATGGGAATTAGTCCAAATCTGGGATTTATAGTGAAATTTTGCTGCTTTATTTTTTTCATAAAAACATAGCAGAATTGAAAAGGTTTGTATAGACATATTAACTAATCATGCTTTACATATAGCAAGTTAGTTACTTTTCAAAGACACATAGGTAATTGATAACTATTTAACGACAAAAACTATGAAATTGATCTAGGACAAAAAGAAGACTGTAAATAAGTTTTATTGAAAAAGAGATTTCTAAAAACATGAAGCTATATGACCTGGTGATAATAGTTAAAATATGTTTAATTTCAGTTTCACATAGCGTGTTTTGGAACGTTGCATGTATCACTTTTAGCCAAATAAAAGCAAATATTGGCCTCTCAGAATATGCCTATAATGTTGATAATCCTTTTGAAATGCATTATCCTTCATATATACAAAGCTAATTAAAATGTCAGTTTCTTTATGTGATCTGGCTTATTTTGTATTTTCTCTAATAAAATGTAAGCTACAAAATGGCAGAAACATTTTTTCTGTCTTATTCACTGTTCCTCCTCAGATTCCTAGAACTATGCTTAGCACAAAAGAGCTGCTCCATAACTATTTGTTGAATGAATGAGTGAATGATTAAGTAAATAAGTGCGGTCCTTCTTTCCTCTGGGGTCCCATTTGCTAGCATTGCCCAGGTGTTGTTAACTGCTTGAGATTTTCCTTGTGACAGCACACAGTGTGAAGGGAAGAGAAGAGGACTGCAGTCACTGTGTCCATTTAGTTCTTGTTAAAGACTTGGGGCTGGGCGTGGTGGCTCATGCCTGTAATCCCAGCACTTTGGGAAGCCGAGGCAGGCGGATCAGAAGGTCGGGAGTTGTGAGACCAGCCTGACCAACATGGTGAAACCCCGTCTCTACTAAAAATACAAAAATTAGCTGGGCATGGTGGTGTGCGACCGTAATCTCAGCTACTTAGGAGGCTGAGGCAGGAGAATCGCTTGAACCCATAAGGCGGAGGTTGTAGTGAGCCGAGATCACGCCACGGGACTCCAGCCCGGGCGACAGAGCAAGACTCCATCTCAAAATAAAACAAAAATAACAACAACAACAAAAAGAAATAAGACTTGGGGCTGGGCGCAGTGGCTGACACCTGTAATCCCACCACTTTGGGAGGCTGAAGTGGGCGGATCACTTGAGGTCAGGAGTTCTAGACCAGCCTGGTTAAAATGGTCTCTAAAAATCTCTACTAAAAATACTAAAACAAATAAAATAAAATAAAATTAGCCACGCATGGTTGCACGTGCCTGTAATCCCAGCTACTCAGGAGGCTGAGGCAGGAGAATTGCTTGAATCCAGGAGGCAGAGGATGCAATGAGTCAAGACTGTGCCATTTCACTCTAGCCTGGGCAACAGAGTAAGACTGCATCTCAAAAAAAAAAAAAAACAAAAAAAACAATAAATAATAAATAAAAGTTGGATTGGAATTTAGGTACCAGCATTTAATTTCTTTCCACTATGTTCTTAAAGGGCCTCAGTTCTCTGGAAAAATTTTAGAAACTTAGTGTTCTTTTGAGGATTAAATGAGATAATGTATACAAGTGTTTAACCAAATATCTGACTCTAGTAGGGCCTCAATTTGATTATTTTCCCCCAGTCCCCTTAAATAACCTATTAACAGTGTAAACCAGTAATCAGAAAATCACTTCCTGCATCTATACCCTGCTATAACTAGTAGTGATATAAAACAAAAAGTCCATTGTAAAATAATCTTTATTTTCTGTACCATCTACGGGAAATGCTAGATTCTGTGACTAAGCCAATAAGAAGCTTCCTGAGATCTCCATTAAAAAGCCTTTACTACTGCTTACCACCTCTTAATTTTTCAAAGCAGTCTCCTAATTTGATCTGCAAATTCATCCTTACAGGAATCAAGAAAGAGACTTTCTTTATTTATTGTTCATATTTGAAAGACGAAAAAACTGACACTCAGAAAGGTAAATGACACATCAGAGCTTGTTAGTAGCAATGGGAAAAAAAAGTCATTGTCATCTGATGGCTGGCTCTATCACTTTGTGTAGTGAAGTAGTTTTTCAACTAGATTTGTTATTTTTGCTCTTTTGCTAGATATCTGCTTATTTGCTTTCTTTTGGCATGAGGACTTTTTCTGTTAACGAAATATTACAACAAAGATGTCCAACCTATACAGCACACTCAAACTGTGCTATTTCGTTCAAGGTAGGAATGTGGATAGAGACCAATCCATTAGATTTTATTTTCCATTCCCTAAAATGGGCTTCCTATCTGTCAGGAAACAGCTTACAGCTTTAAAGATTCCCATTTTCTTTCAAACAACAACACTTGCTAAAATGCTTTAAAAGAAATAGAAAAAAGAGCACATGGTTCAACTTCTAGGGCTCCTTGCATTATCTGAGTTTTCTTTCTAAAATTTTCCTTCGGGATACTAAAGCATATTATATATAGACTTCACAGTATTTTTTTTTTTTTTTTTTTTTTTTGAGATGGAGTTTCGCTCTTGCTCAGGCTGGAGTGCAGTGGCACCATCTCAGCTCACTGCAACCTCCACCTCCCGGGTTCAAGCGATTCTCCTGCCTCAGCCGCCTGAGTAGCTGGAACTACAGGTGTATGCCACCACGCCTGGCTAATTTTTGTATTTTTAGTAGAGACAGGGTTTTACCATATTGGTCAGGTTTGTCTTGAACTTCTGACCTCGTGATCCGCCTGCCTTGGCATCCCGAACTGCTGGGATTACAGGTGTGAGTCACCGCCCCAAGCCTTCACTGTATTGTTAAAGATGCCTAATTTTTTATATTCCTTTGGCTAGGCTAGGATGAGATCTACCCTCTTGTTGCTAGAGATGCTAAATGCATGCTGTAAGAAGAGCTATGTTTCTCTCAGTCATAACTACAAAATGGACAAATAATTCAGACCTCTTTTAAGACCAGAATTGCCCTTTCCCTGCTCTTGGCCAAAAATGGTATTAATTTTAAATGGTTCTGCTTTTTTCAACTCTTATTACTATCTCATTTCTTGACAGCATCTGCCTTTCAACGCCCCTGAATCAAAATCTAAACTTTTGAATGGAATATATATTTTTAAAATGAGTCTTAGTCCTTAAGTGGTTAAGTTGCCCCTCTGGATCTAACAGAACAGTATCAGTCATCTTATGTCAAGAAAAAAAATAATGTCTAATCTTTGACAGAAATGAATTACTTCATATGGGACAGCTACATTTGGTCTGATACTTGTTGTCAGCTTTCACTGGAAAACGAGGAACTAAGAAATAGATTTCATCAAATTCTGAGATGGGAGGAAATGAAATCTTAGCAAAGAAAACAAGTTATGCCTCTGAAATGAATTGTACGAGCGGGAAGATATATCAGGTGAAAAGTGAATGTTAAAATCATTTGCCAACAGATGACATAAAACATTTTGGACAGATATTTAAGGATAGAAAGCCCTGATGTTACCAGTTTATAAAATATTCATGTATTCAAGAAAACGAAATGACCTCTATATTAGGGAATTACTTGTAAACATTCTCTGAGTTTTAGCAGTGTTTATTTTTTTGTTTGTTTTTTCTCTTCTTGATACTCCTATTTTCCTCCATGAGCTGCCTGTTTTTCTATGGTGTAGGGAAAAAGTAGCCTGGTACTATGAAGTTAATCTGTTTAGCTTGGATATATCTAAAGAAACTTCTCAACAATTGCTTACCTGGGTCACTTCAGATTTAAATAAAGAGACCACATGTACTGTCTCGCGTCGATAAAGAATGAAACATCATATTTGTCAAAAGAAGAAGGGGACAGGGCCAGATAGCTTAGGGATTAGGGGCAGAAGATGAAACCTTTCAACTCTAAGTCACTTCTTGCCATCTGTTTGTGGTAGATTGACTGTGACAGAAATCATTGCTATCTAAAGGCTGTTCAGTTGTCTACTAGGTGTCAAAGACATAGCAGTCTTCATCTAGCTCTTGTTAGACAGATGCCATATCACACAAGACCCATCGTGATTAGCAGCCAGTGAATTTATCACCCTAAGGCAAAGTGAAACTTTCCTACCTCGGCCAACGCAGGGGAGAAAATACTATTTCACATGCCATCTGGAGGTAAAAACACCTCTGGTGCTTTATCTTTGTCTTCTCTTCTCCAAGGAAGGTCATTTGGAGATGAATATTCTGCTCTTTTAAGTCTGTTTAAAATAGCTGACTCTCCAAAGTCAAAAGACCCTAAAAATGTAGCTTGCAAAATTTACATAGATGAACTTCTACAAATATTCCTTACAAAAAACAATGTACTAGTTTGGAGAAAAGGTATATTCCCTGCATCCTCTCATCTTAGATCTTAAATTATAAGAAGATATACACATATATCTTATATGTATACATATCTTATATGTATATATCTTATAATACAGATATATATACACATATGTGTATATATATGTATATATATGTATATATCTGTGTGTGTATATATATGTATTGGTGTATCACACACATACAGAAAAGCTCATAAATGGTCAGATTCTTTTACAAGTTGAACACACCCATGTAAAAAGCATCCTCATTTATGAATAGACCATGATAAACATCCCCAGAAGGCTCTCCATGTGCCCCCGTCATCTCAGTTTCTACCTTCTCCCCAAGGTTTCCTATATCTTTTTACCGATACCATTGTTTATTTTGAGTTCATCAATATAACTTAGTTTTTGAATCATTTATGAATTTTGTCTGAGCATTAGAGCTGAAAACTTATTCAATTGAAACCAGCAAAATAAAGATCTAGGATACACACATTTGAAAATGACATTTATAACCTTGAGACTTGGATTATGTCTGGCCAAAGTTTATTAACGTTTATACATTTATTTTCAATCACCTTATCTCATATTTGTCTGTAGAGGGAGGTACCAAAAGGGGAGAAAATTAAATGCGGGTTCCCAGATTGTGAGAAATAAGTTACCCACAGACATGATGAAAGAAAGGTGAAATGGAAATAGCACTGCTTCAGTGATCATATTTTATTTCCACCACTTAATTACATTATAATTTGGGGTAGAGAATTGAACTCTTCTGGGTTTCAATTTCTTTAAATATAGTATGGGAATACAAATAACAACTTGCTAAAGCCACGTCTTCCTAAGACCTATGATTCATGGAAGATAGTCTAAAAAACATTTCCCATATTGTGCTGTCTTATCACCAACTCTACCACAGGCTGGAAGATTGGGATCTTTTTATCTCTATGTGAGTAGGAGTAGACTCCACCAGATACCTGTTTTGAGCTGGGGAATACAAAACGTGGGAATGAATCTCCCGTTATGCCAAGGTCATGGCCAGAATGTCTATTCCAGACTATTTCAAGACCCGAGGCAACATCAACTTTATTCATTCTTAGCAACTATCTTTGAGAGGTAGAGCACAGACTTAATCTTTCACATTATACAGATAAGAAATGAAATCACTGAGCACTCCAGTGATGTATGAAGTAGCAGGTAAGAAAAGTTAGAGGAGGAAAAAAAAATTGATCTCTTTTCTTCTTTTCCAGAGCTTTTTTGGGGGCTCTCTTGTTGATCCCGAAGCCATGCACGTACTTTTGATAGTGGCTGGTGGAAACATTGGAGAGACTATATTCTGCCAAAAGGGGAATTTGAAAAAAGACAATAAGGCCCTTTCTTTTTAAGCCCTTGACCGCTGGTGTACAGTTTTCCCAATATTAACTGCATGGACAAACTGCTTAATGGCAGAAATGTCACTGCCAGAACTTTAAAGAGGTTAATCAATACTGGGCCTCAATCAAAATTTTGCCATTATGTTTCCAAACATTGGAGTCCTCATGGAGATTTTTATATATTCACTGAAATGCTTTTAGAGCATAGAGGTCGGGCTCTTTAAATTGTTCAAGTGTTGCCAACCATCAGCAGGTCCCTGTAGATTATAAACAAGGAAGAGAGCCACTGTCCTCCTGTTTGATACTTGATTTCCCAGAAGAGGGCTGGAACTGCTGGCTGAAATGTCAGAATAAAACAAGACTTGCCTATTTTTAGCTCTGGCTTATACAGTTTCCCTCCTCTTTAATCATACATCAAGATTTTAAGCCAGCCACCTTTCCACCTTTAAGCCAGATACCTTTCAGTATCTCGGAGACACTTTAATCCAAGTTATTGCAATGTATAGTAACATAATGATGTTTTATTATAGAAATATGCAATTTTGTTGCTGCTCTTTTGGGTATTGTTTTTGACTGTCCTAACCGATGTGTGACCAGATCCTTGGACATAAAAGTGAGCACAATGCCAAAAGTTTCATAAGGAATTAAGATGAAAAAAAAAAAAAAAAAGAAAAAAAAAAGAGGTCAGTACTCTGAGAGCTTCATCTCAGGCAGTATCTTTGCTTCCTTCATTTCATCACCTGATCATAGGAAATGTAAGAAAAGGAAGTTTGATCAGGTTCTAGCACCAAAGAAGAACTTTTCTTTTTTTTTTTTATTTTTTGCAAATTATTAGTATTATTTTTGATTGACAGATCATAATTGTATATATTATGGGGCACAATGTGGTGTTTTGATATATGCATACAGTGAGGAATGATTAAATCAAACTAATTAACATATCCCTCACCTTGCTTGCCTATTATTTTTTTATGGTGAGACATTTGAAACTTACTCCCTTGGTCATTTTTATTTTTTATTTTTATTTTTTTGAGACAGAGTGTCACTCTGTCACCAGACTTGAGTGCAGTGGCACAGTCTCAGCTCACTTCAACCTCCAACTCCCTGGTTCAAGTGATTCTCCTGCCTCAACCTCCCAAGTAGTTGGGATTATAGGCACGCGCCACCATGCCCAGCTAATTTTTGCATTTTCAGTAGAGACAGGATTTCACCGTGTTGGCCAGGATGGTCTCGATCTCTTGACCTTGTGATCCACCCACCTTGGCCTCCCAAAGTGCTGGGATTACAGGTGTGAGCCACCAAGCCTGGCTGGTCGTTTTAAAAATATATAATGCATTATTACTGACTATAGCACCTGCTATGAAGTAGATAATAAGAATTTGAGCAGTTTGAACTGTACTGAAATCTCCAAAGGGGTAGAAAGTGGTGAGACTAAGTTTAGAAAGATAATTATAGTAATATCTCTCACATGGGCAGAAGACGATTTGGTAAAAATTTAACTGTAGGTAAGAGTTTGAGATAGAGGCTTAGAAAGAGGAGGCCACTCATTCATTCAGCAAACATTTATTGATGCCCACTATGTGCTAAGATCCTGATCTAGATTGTGGGAGTCGAGTAGTGAGTAAATGGTGCTGAAGCTTGCATTCTGTTGAAAGAAAATAGATAATAAACAAATAAATTTATATGCCAGAGTAGTAACTGCTATGTAAGTTAAGGGTAGAGAGAATTCGTTTTAGCTAAGAAAGAGTAATCATAGAAGCCCTATCTGTTAATTGACATTAAGCAGAGACCTAAACAAAGTAAGAGCAAGCCACCTACATACATCTGAGGAAAGAGTATTTCAAACAAAATAGCACATGCAAAGGTATTGAGGTGGGAATATACTCAATATATCCCAGGAAGAATACAGAGGGCAGTAGGCATGGGGATGAGGAAAATGATGGAACATGCAGTCAGAGGTGGGAGGGGACCACATCACACACCTTGGAGGTCATAATGAGTGTTTCCAGTTTTACTCAAAGTGAGATGAAGGATTTTAGGCTGTTTTAGGGTTTTGAACAAGGAAATTCGTGACAAGATTTTCCTTTTAAAAAGATCATTGTGGTTGCTCTGTCAGACTAGATTGTTGGGTTGTCAGGATGGAAAGCAGACCAGTTTGAAAATATAGAGACTAGTATAGGCAATAGTCAGTGGTTGTTTTTACTATGTAACAGTCATGAGAGTGGTTAGGTGAAGCTGGACTCTGAGTATATTTACAAACAGATCTGATATACGTGGTGTTGAATTGAATAATGTGAGGTGTGAAAAGAAAGAAGATGCCAAGGCTTTTTGCACAAGGAAATGGTATGATGGAATTGCCATTTAGCAAGTTAGAGAAGACTGTAAGAGCAATGGAGGAGGAAAACATAAGAAAGGGAATAGTTCGGATGAATCAAGATTTCAAGTTTAGACAATCTGAGTTTGAGATCCTATTAGACATTTCATCAGAGATGTCAAATCAGTGGCTAGATATATAGGTTGAGTTAAAGAATAAGTCAAGACTAGTTTTTTTTTTTTTTTTTTTTTGAGACGGGGTCTCGCTCTGTTGCCCAGTCTGGAGTGCAGTGGCGCAATCTCGGCTCTCTGCAACCGAGACTAGTTTTATAAATGAAAGTATTATCAACCTACAGATGAGTTTAAAGCTATGGGTCTGAATGAGTTCACCTAAGACATAAGCAAGATGGTAGACTGAATGAATAAAGTTATTTATTAATAAATTCAATAGTAGGTCTCTCTGATTCTTTTAAGCCCTGGGATTCCTTGAAATATAAAAAGAAAAGTCATTAAAAGCAATTTGACATGTATTTATAATATACTCTAGGCTTAGAATCTTGGTAACCATTTCCTGTGGTTCATCAAACTTCAGGCAATGAGTTTTAGCACCATTATCTGGGCTTTGCAAGAGACCTGGTTGAGCATAGGAGATTGTCTTCTGTCCATTGTTTTTAACCCCTTTTCAATTGCATGACATTCTTTCATTCATTCTCATAAGATTGCTTACCAGACAGTACACTGCATTTACAGTCAAATACTGATTAATTTGTGGGAGCATTTTCTGGAGTTGATAAATCAATGTACAAAAAATACACCATCTCATTTTAAAAGAACTGTTTAAACCAGTGCTTTTCAAAGCTTATTCCAAAGAACATTAGTTCCAAGGAATTTAAATCTAGAAAATATTAAGTTAAACAGATTTCTATACTGCAGAACTTCTTGGGGCCTTTAACAAACTAATGAGCTTTGTAACTGCAAGAAAGAGGGAAAAGCCATATGTAATTTTTTTCATCCCTAATTGGTCTTTAAATCTTTTTATGCACAGCATGTTGTAAGTCTAGCATCCTGAGGAATAAGATTATTCAATAGCCAAAATGCATATTAACTCTTCAGTATTCTTTAATTTTGGAAAACAAAAGTGATCACTATCTTGGTAAGCATTACCAAAGAATAGGCACTATGCTTTACATAAATCATCTCATTTATCCCTATAAGTTACATACTAAAATTATCCATATGTTACAGATATAAGAACAAAAGGAGGAAAAGTGAGGCAGCTCATTCAAGGCCAAGGAGTTAGTAGGTGAGAGTGCTACCATTCAAACCAGATTCTTTCGCTTCAGAGCCAGGTTACCGAATCAGTGGTTATCACAGTGTAGTCCCAGGACCAAAAGCATCTGTATCACTTGGGAACTTATTAGAAAAACAAATTTGGTCCCATGAATCGGCAATTCTGTAGGTAGAGCTCAGTACTTTGTACTTTAGCGGATCTTATGGGTAATCCTATTACATACTTCAGTGTGAGAACCACTGGCTTAAATCATTGCAGTAAACTCTAATAATATCTGTGTATGGTACAGAGGTCTAAGAAGGTGACTAGGTTAAACAAAAATAATCCCGTATTTGTTCTAAATTGGAGGTCCTCAGCTTGCATTATAAATCAGAAACACTTACGGAGTTTATAAAACTCCAAGATGACCCTCCAAAGCCTGAATATCCTGAAATGACACAGGTATAAAAGCTTATAAAAGCTCCATAGGTGACTTTGATGTATTACCACAATTGAGATCCATGTGGAAATCAATGGGGAATATGCATTTGCTGTTCTATGTGAGTGCCTCCGAAACTTCGCTGTGCATAGAGATACCCAGGTGACGTTGTTAAAATGTAGATTCTGGTCCAGCGAGTCCAGGGTGGGGCCTGAGATCCTGCAATTCTATCAAGCTCCCAGTTGATGTGGGCATTATTGGTTCAAAGACACACATGTTGAATAGCTAGGGTTTAATTTGCCTTGGCAATTTCTCATTTTCTCAAGCATTCCTTTATATTTAATAACTATAAAATTAAAAGCTTCAATTTATTTAGTGAACCTCTCTAGGGGAATTCTAAGTACGCTAGGCACAATGTGTTAATATTTTATTCATTACCTTTTGCTGTTACATGATTGCTGACCATTTGGTCTGCCTGCAACTGGTTTAGAAAGTAGGTATGAGAAACTTAGTGCTAAGCTGAGTAAATGCCAAATAAACAGGGACAAGCTGGTCATTCTACAAGGGCAGGTACTTCCACTTATTATGGAGGGACCCAATTCTAATCTAGAAATACATCCTAGCAATGTGCCTATTTCTAGTGCTATCTCTGTATGTTAGTGAGGGGTGGAGAGGAGCTAGGTTTCAGAAGCACATTGCCCAACAGTCTTCGATAATCTCATACCAGCCTGAGATTTACAGATTGAGTGGTGGAGCCACTGAAACTCATGTAGCCTGGCCCTGGAGCCCTCAGTCCTGACCACTGTGACAGATCAATCTTTCTTCTAATGCCCTAAGGCAAGAATTCCCCAAAGTGGTGTGAATATAGACTGCTCATATGAATATTTGAACATTTTCTTCTATTAATTTTCTACCTAATTCTTTAAAAATTATATTTGGGATGATTGTATATACATTTTTTAACAGATATGTAGATAAATAAAATATTTGATACATGTGTATACACACACAATGCTTTGGGGATGCATGATCCAAAAACCATGGAGACTGCCAGCTGTGGATCACAGATATGCATTTATTAATTAATAATATAAGGGCCGGGCATGGTGCCTCATGCCTGTAATCCCAGCACGTTTGGAGGCCGGGGCAGGTGAATCGCCTGAGGTCAGGAGTTCGAGACCAGCCTGGCTAACATGGTGAAGCCCCATCTCTACTAAAAATACAAAAATTAGTCAGGCATGGTGGCACATGCCTGTAGTCCCAGCTACTTGGGAGGCTGAGGCAGGAGAATAGCTTGAACCTGGGAGGCGGAGGTTGCAGTGAGCCGGGATCGTGCCACTGAGCTCCAGCCTGGGTGACAGAGCAAAACTCCATCTCAAAAAAAAAAAAAAAAAAAAAAGAATATAAGAACTCCCAGTTTCCCACACAGTCATACTTTCCTATTAAATATGCTTTTTTTTAACGTGTAAAGTTCCTACTCATATATTCTCGAGCCCATTTAACATCATTATAGTTTACCATAGAAAGAGTGTGCCTGGTTGCAATTCAGCCTGCTTCCCCTAAGGCTCTTCTTTGGAAGCCCTTCTTGTTGGTTTTGCCTAAATTGTACAGGTCATTGAAACGGCAATCTGTTAACTGCGAGCATGTTAATATCAAGCTTGAAGTATTGGAAATATAATAATTTCAAGGGAGTTCTCATCTATTTTACATTAAGACATTTAGTAAACCTCTACTTTAATATTCCGATATGTCATCTTTCTAAACTTTTAAGACTTCCCTAAAAATTTCAGCCACGCAGAATGAGGTTCAATTCTTACCCACAGAACTGAGATTTGAAATGACCTCAAGAGGTGACAAATTATATACATATATATGTTTACATATTTTTTCACGTGCATGTGTATGCTACAGTATTAGTCCTATATTATTAGTCTGCACTGCAGGGTTTTTTTAATTTTAGTTTTATATTTTGTACATCATTAGAATTACATAATTCCTTATGCTACAGTTTAGAAAGTAACTTAAATCATTGCAATTCTGTTTATCACTCCAATCTTTTTCTACTAATCACTACATCAAGGCAAGGCATTATTTGATCCATTCAAAAAACCAAGTAGTAAATTTAAACAAGCTAAAATATTGAGAGTATCCTAAAATGGACTTTCAATTTGATCTCTATTTCTTAATAAAGATCATATAAATTACATTATTCAGGAAAACAATTTTTTTTACAGTTCTTTTAAACGTCCATCACTTAACCATATAGCAGGACAGTTCCAGCAGAATAATTTTCAATGTAGGTTAAAAAGCATTTCTAGAAAATTAGCATCTTTCTGCTCAATAACAGTAAAAACAACAAAACTTGAGTACTTAAAAGACACTAAGCTGTGTGTTTTGTATGGGTTTTCTTATTTACTCTTCATGACAGAGCCCTATTCCACTCCATCTTTCCACCATAGTACCCGACTGCCTGGTTTTCTTCCTCTCTGGAAGCAACAACTTGTTTTTAACCACCAAGTTTGTGGTGCTTTGTTAGGCAAGCCCTAGGAAGTCAGTACATCCCATGCCTCTCCTTTTCTCTCTCTTTTCTCTATATCCTCTGACCGCATGTACCAAATACATGCTGAGGAACTAAAAAGCTTCTACTCACAGTACAAGCCTTTCCTATGAGTACAAGATGGCTACCTGCTTTGTGTTTCTACTTGGCTGCCTTCTTGGCACCCAAAACTCTGATAGTCTCTGCATAGCCCTTATCACAATGTGCATTTATGTGAAAAAAAAAATATATATATATATATATTCTTTTATTGCCCTAAATCACTTATTGGTTTTTCTTATATAGTCTTCCCTCAGTATACTCGAGGGATTGGTTCCAGGGTCACCCCACATCTCTGCATATATCCAATTCCACTCATACTCAAGTCCCACAGTTGGCCCTGTGGAACCTCTGCATACTTGGGTTTCACATCCTATGAGTACTGTTTTCTATCTGTGTTTGCTTGGAAAAAATCCACATATAAGTAGATCCATGCAGTTCAAACCTGTGTTATTCAAGAGTCAACTGTAATTCTGTTGACATTTACTCCAACTCATGTGTTATGGTTAATTGTATGCATCAACTTGGCTAGGTTATGGTACCCAGTTGTTTGGTCAAACACTGATCTAGATATTGCTGTGGAGGCATTTTTTTACATGTGATTGACATTTAAATCGGTAGACTTTTAGTCCAGCATATTACCCTCCATAATGTGATTTGGCCTCATCTAATCAGTTGACAACTTTAAGAGAAAAGACTGAGGTCCATGAAGGAAGAAAGAATTCTGCCTCCAGACTGCCTTTAAACTCAAAACTACAGCATCAACTCTTGCCTGAGTCTCCAGCCTGCTGGTCTTCCCTGCCAATTTCAGACTTGTCAGCCTCTACAATCATGTGAACCAAAAACTTAAAATAAACCTTTCACTCTACATTTCTACACATCCTATTGGTTCTGTTTCTCTGGAGAACCTTAACACACTATGTAACACATACATGAAAAAATAAAGCTTCTAATGATTTTGCTGGTCTTTTTATTTTATTTGTTAAAGCGATCACAAAGGTACAGTGAGTTTCAAGAAGAGGAGTAATAAAATCCCCTTTTTGATACGGTGTCAAAATTCTAGAGAAACATGGCATCTCTCAAACTGGCAATATTTCCCAGGTCATTTTGCAAAATACAATCTGAGAAATACCGCATTTTCTGTTTTGTGATTTTTACACCCTTGTTACTAAACTAAATACTTCATTTTTTTCCTTCTTCTTTGAAGAAAATTCTATCTGCTCTGTGAAGCTTTTATTTATCTGCACTTTCACTCATTGACATTATTTATCACTTATCAATAATACCATTTGGCATTTAAATATCACCTTATACATTCTGCTGTGTAAGTGGAGGTCACAGAAGTAAAAATGTTCAGAATTAGGCAGGATTTAAGCCCACCTCTGCTACATATTAGCAGGACAGCTGGGAAATTACCTAATCTTTCTGAGTTCAGTTTCCTTGCCTGTAAGATGGGGATATGATAGTACCCATTCCATGGTATCGTTGTTATAAAATGACAGAAGATTCATAAAGACTTTATAAAATTTGTTGTTCACTTTCTATATGTGATGCATGTTACACTATTATGATTCAAGCCACACAGCAACACATGCCATTATTATCTTTATTGTACAGGTAAGAACCTTGAAACCTGTGTCGTTAATGTGACTTGGTCAAGACACACAATGTCTTAAGAATATAAAAGCTGAACCTTGACACCTTGATATCATGATATCACCCTCTTTGTATTCTCACCATTGTACCTCATATTGCATCTTACCTGTGGTAGGTAAGATAAGACTTGTTAAATTAATGAATATTCAGTTAAGCAATATTGAATGCCTTCCACTTAAATCTTGTTAATGACCAACTGCAATTCATATAAATTAGTATACACAAAAATATGTTACTTTGTGCGTATTTCAGATTCCAACAAAGGATTTAGAGGAAGAAAAAGAAGAAATCTTGCTGAGATTAAGATCTGATAAAAATTATGAAATAAAATTAACTGGCTACTGTAGACAAAGTATGGTGCCTCCAAAAGTTCTTTGGGAATGAAGACTATTAGCTCCAGACTTGTTAGTTAGTAGTACATGATATTTTAGCATTATTATTGGTTTATAAACTTAGATTCTAAGCTTTCTATATTTGTTATAAACTAATACTTTTGCAGCAGATCTATACACACTCTGGAGGTTATGCTAGATTTAAATTGAATAATGCAATATGTGGTACAAAAATAGTTTTAAGAACATTGTAGTAATTAGGATTTTATGCAGTTATTTTAAGTATTACTTGCTCTGTTGGGCTGGATCCTGGAACGCTGAAAATAGAGTGGGGCCAGACACGGTGGCTCACGCCTATAATCCCAGCACTTTAGGAGGCCGAGGCACGCGGATCACTTAGGAGATCGATACCAGCCTGGCAAACATGGTGAAACCCCGTCTCTACTAAAAATATAAAAATTAGTCAGGCATGGTGGCGGGCACCTGTAGTCCCAGCTACTTGGGAGGCTGAGGCAGGAGAATCAGTTGAACCCGGGAGGCGGAGTTTGCAGTGAGCCAAGATCACGCCCCTGCACTCCAGCCTGGGTAACAGAGTGAGACTTTGTCTCAAAAAATAAATAAATAATAAAGAAGAGTAGATTAGGTGTCAGTATTCTGATATTTTGACTAAATGGTGGTATGACTTGCAATTTTGTCAACATATGTAAACATTAAGTATGTCATGAACTTTAGGTATGTGAAATGTGTATATTACAGTGATGATTTTAAAGTCTTCTCAAAGTTCTAAACTTTAAAAGTAACTGATGTTATTTTACAATCTAAGTAAAATTTCTAGTTTTTTTGTTTTAACATAGCATTTTCAAATTCGTGAAATGAGTTTTTAGTGCATATAGTGAGCCTTATTAAAACAAAATCAGAAATTTAATTTGTTTTAAAAAATATAAGACCAGACAAAACCAGTGTTCCATTCTGTTAGCATAAAATAATTGGAATAGAGAACTGGCTTCCCTACTATACAGGAGACATGTCTTGAGAGTCTATGCTAAACCCACTTTATTCACTAACAGTATCTGTTTTGTCCCTGCAATAATATGAGTTTGAGTCCCAAGTTCTGAGAATACCATAGTCTTCCCTTTCTCACTTCATTCTAAGAAAATAGATATGTCATAACATAGTGTATAGTGTCATAATATTGAACTTCAGGGATATAAGCTTTTTTACATATTAAAATATGGCTGTAGGGAACATATTACTCAAATTCCATTGCTAGGTTAGAGCTGCGGATATCAAATAAAATTTCTTTCCAATCTGGTTAAGTGAAATAATAGTAAAAAAGTAGTAGGATGGATATCTTTTAATAATATGGCAAACAGCTCATCAGAGATTCCCTTTCATAATAAAACATCTTCAGCTGCATCCAACCCTTTGAATGCAAGGAATTTTTGCTTAGCTGTGGTGGTGGATGTCATGAAAATTATGCATGGACTTTTTCGTTGTTGTTGTTAATCACCTGTTGTTAGTGTATTTTATGTGTGGCCCAAGACAGTTCTTCTAATGTGGCCAGGGAAGCCAAAAGGTTTGACACCCATGATCTAGATCTCAGCTGGGGGCTGGGGTTGGAGGTGACAACATATATTATTAATATACTGCTGCATGTGTACAAGATAACTTCTATGGGCCCTTTCCATGACACATCTAAAATGAAATAGTGTAAATTTCAAACCAGATTAATGAGCATATGACAGGGTTAACCCAAGGGAAGATGCCTAAAGCAGTGCTGTTTTCAGGGAACAAACTCTCTGTCTCATTCAGAGTTAGGGCAGTTGAATCAGAGACTGTTCCATTAAGCAGGTAACCTCAAGTATACTCAAGGAGTATCAAGATAACAACACCTGTTGACTTCCAGCAGCAGTAAAGATGAAGTGTAGCTGGAAGAGAGCATTTGTTGTTAGGCCCCCAGGGTTGCCATAAAATAAAACCAAACAAATATGAGATACCAATGTAAGACAACCAACTATGTACAAAGGAATCATTCCCACAAGTGGGCACTAACAGACATAATTAAATCACAAATTTGTAACCCCAAGTAATTATACATTGGATTTACAAGACATGAAATATAAAACATCTTTATATAAAATTATTTTAAAAATAAAAATCTCAAAATGAGAAATTAATAATTTTCATTAGAAAATGAGGTTATAGAGTTGGAAAAATTAATTAAATATAACTGCTAAGAATGAAAAGTAAAATTGTTAAAAATAAAAAGTAAATAGGGTAAACAACAGATTAGATAGAGCTGAAGAGGCATTTTAGAGAACTGGAAGATAGATATGAGGAGATTTTTCGGAATCTAGCCAGAGAGAAAAAGAGACAAAAAATTGAAAAAAATTTTTTAAAAATGGAGGACAGAATAAAAACTCTAAAAGATGTCTAATCATGAATAGAAAAGAGGAAAAGAGCAAAGGCGATATCTGAATAGGTAATGTCTGAGATTTTTGCAGGTCTGATAAGAGATACTACACCACTGATAGGCACAATAAATACCCAGCAGGATAGAGAAAATCTACAAAACATAAAAAACAGAGTTTTTTTTAAACATCTAGAATTTACCTGAATAGGAACAACTGTTGGAAAAATCACATATCTTTTAACAATAAGTATAAAAACCAGAGAGGCTGTAGAATAATATATTTAAAGCGATGAGGCAAAATGACTAACAACAAATATAGGTACAAAAATTTTTTCAAGAACAACGATTAAATAAAGGCATTTTAAGATAAAGTGAGAAAATTTAACACCATGATACAATAAAATAATTACTAAAGTTTGAACTTCAGAAAGATAAAAAATTCCTAGGGAAAAATCATTTCAGACTTTTCAGCAAGAAGAAATGCTGATTGAAAAGTACATAAATTTGTTACCAAATATTAAAAAGCATTGTTTTATGTTCTCATGTATAAGTGGGAGCTAAACGATGAGAACACATGGACATGATGTGGGGGCAGGCGAGCAACACACACACGAATGGATGCTGGGCTTAATACCTAGGTGACAGGTTGATCAGTGCAGCAAACCACCATAGCACATGTTTACCTATGTAGCAAACCTGCACATCCTGCACGTGTACCCTGGAACTTAAAAGTCAAAGAAATAAAAAATATAAAAAATAAAAAAGCATTGCTTTATCAAATGATAGGTAATATCTAATTTGTGGTCTTAAATTATTGAGGAATATTTTAAGGTAAGTATACAAGTGAAATTCCAATTAATTACTAAAAAATAGAAGTAGAATATATGGGTTACAAATCAGTAAAATAAAATGATTAAGAGCACAGTCAGTCCACAAAAGCAGGGGTTTGGGGTGGGGGGAAATGTTTTTTTTTTAAAAAAATGGGACAAATAGAAAGCAGAAAGATTATAAAAACAAGCAAAAATACATCAACATTCAAAATAAACATAATGGATCAAATGTACCTGTTGGAAGATGAGGGTTAAAAGTGAACAACAACAAAAAATTCACCTATATACTGCTTATAAAACTCATATTTAACCACATAAATTCAAAGAAAAGCTTGTTTTTTATCATATGCTATCCCAATCATCATCATCATCATCAATAATCATCATGGCAAATGTTTATATAATGTTGACTTTGTCCCAAGCCTAATTTTAAGCCCTGTACATGAGCAATCTCATTTCTTACCCAATAGTTTTTATGACTTATTATATAAAAAGTTATGAAAATAACATGTACATCTAAATAAAATTGCTGACAAGAAATAATAAAGGTAAGAATAAATGAAAGGGAAATAGAGACAGAGAGACTCCAGGAAAACATTGTCTTTTTTTAAAAGGGTAATAAAAATGATGCAAAGCATTGCTAAGATCAATAGTTAAAATAATTTTATACATAACAAGGGGACATAATTACAAATGGGGCAAGATAAAAGCAGGAACAATGTTATGTGAACAGATTTCAGCACTTTAAATAAATTATGATACATATCTTCTCAAAACTGAAAAATAAGAACAAAAAGCCTTTGGCAATGAAGTAAATGTATGAAAAGACAAAATTATTCCATACATAAAATCATCAGGACAAGATATTTTAGATATCTTGCCAAGTTCTTTTAGATATTACAGAATAAATTATTTAATATGAATTCTAATATTGATACAGAAGACAGATAAGGAAACAAAAAGAGGAAGAAAGAAAAAGAGGGAGAAAGGGAAAAAATAAGAACATTGGCAGGCCAGTCTGACCTGAATAAAAATGAAACAACATCAAAAAAGTCTTCTATAAATTAACGAACTGATTTGGCAATGTATTTCAAGGATAATATTAAATGGCTGACTGAGTTTATCACAAAAATATAAAGGTGACAATATTATTAGAAAATCTATAGTTATAATCATAATAACTGATTAAAGGATAAAATGTAATCAACCATATAAATTTAGCACCCATTTAATTCTTAACTAGGAAAACAAGGAAACTTCCTTTTGTGATAAAGTGTATCTACCCAAAACCTAGAGCTAACTTACTCCCACTGGTGAAATTTTAGCAGTTTTGCTGTTAATATCGGGAGCAAGACAGAGATGCTTATTATCATTAATGCCCTTATTCTTGATTCTCTGCAACATTTTCTTGCAATGCCCTGCCAACAGAATAAGATAAGGAAAGAAAATAATAGGTTGGGAAGGAAGAAACCAGTGCCTTTTTATCTGCAAACGATACGATTGTTAACAATGGAAAACAGAAGCTAAAGTGTTAGAAATAATAAGAGAGAAATAGGAAGATTGCAATATGTAAAACAGGTAAACAAATCTGCACTGCATTCCAACAAGCAAAAATTTATTATGATATTATTTTCTGAGGCCCCTGTAACAAAGTATAAACTTATTGGCTTAAAACCAGAGAAATTTGGCAGGGCACGGTGGCTCACACCTGTAATCCCAGAACTTTGGGAGGCCAAGGTGGGAGGATCACCTGAGGTCAGGAGTTCAAGACCAGACTGGTCAACATGGTGAAACCCCATCTCTACTAAAAATACAAAAATTAGCCAGACATGTTGGCACATGCCTGTAATCCCAGCTACTTGGGAGGCTGGGGCAGGAGAATCGCTTGAACCCAGGAGTCAGAGGTTGCAGTGAGCCGAGATGGCGCCATTGCACTCCAGGCTGGGCAACAAGAGTGAAACTCCGTCACACACAAAAAAAATTTATTCTGTCACAGCTTTGGAGACCAGAAGCCTGAAATTAAGGTATCCGTTTTTTTTCTAAAGGCTCTAGGGACAGTTTATTTCCTTGAAAATTTCAGCATCGGTGATAATTTCAGCATCAGTGACTCCACGTGTTTCTTGGCTCGTAGCTGCATTACTCCAATCTCTGCCTCTGGGGTCACATTGCCTCCTTCTTTTCTGTCAAATTTCTCCTCTTTCTCTTTTATAAGACATTTGGCATTAGATTTCAGGCTCATCTAGATGATTTGTGATGATCTCTTTATTTCAAAATCCTTAATTATTCCTTCAAAGATTTCCAAACAAGGTACATTGAGTTTTTAGATATTCACGTGTGGACGTATCGTTTTGGTGCCAATATTTATTCAGCCCACTGCAATATTTTTATTGGAAAACTTACCCCCAAAATGTAGTATAAATTAGTTAAATAAAGGAGAGATTTTGCACACACTCTCACCTTTTTTCTTATATGCCCTAGTTATCAAGTTGAGAGTTTAGGCCAATTTCACGAACAGGTTAGTTGACATATGTGAAATATAATGGAGAAGAGAAAGAAGTCTAATGGTTCCTTGGTAGCTGTTACAGACATGGTTATTTTCTACTCAATTGCCATTTTGCCTTTTATTTTTATTCAGGGAGCCCCAGTCTTGTTCATTACAGCAATGTGCCCAACACCAGGGATTGAATCCTAATTAGGACAAGCCAGGAAAGGCTATCCAGTTATTGATATTTACTTTTCAGCCTCTCTCCCACTCCAGGGTGCCCATGTGACACAGTTATGTCCAATGGAGTGCAAATGGCAATTTTTAGGTTCCAGAAAAAGGCACCTAAGTTTGACATTTTGCCTTTTATTCTTACTCTGAGAGGCCCAGTCTTGTTCATTGCAGCAATAAACCCAGCACCACGGGTTGAATCCTAATTAGGACAAGCCTGGCAGGACCATCCAGCAATCTCTGCTATAAGGGAAAGTCCTATTCTGTTTGCCCCTTTCTCAGATTACTAGTGTGAAGACGTGATGCTGGGATTGTGCCATGTATTGTGTGGTTGTTACAAGCTCAAGATGAAAATCCAATGAGAACAAAGGACAAGGTTGCTGCACAAATCACGTAATTGCCTTTTTCAGACTTCTTCAGTGTGAGAAAATAAGCATCTATATTGCTTTAGCAAGTATTAGTTAGGTATTCTGTTATTTGAAGCCTAAACCATCCCTACCTGAAGTTATAGGTGGTGACTTTTTAGATACTTTTCATTCCTTTATGTTTATAAATACGCAAACAGAAGCAGCATCATTGTCTTTTGTTATAAGCACTCACTGTTACAAATTTAGAGATAAGAGGAAACAACTGTTATTTAAGATTATTTTCAGCCCGGGCGCGGTGGCTCACGCCTGTAATCCCAGCACTTTGGGAGGCCAAGGCGGGCGGATCATGAGGTCAAGATATCGAGACCATCCTGGCCAACATGGTGAAACCCCGTCTCTACTAAAAAAATACAAAAATTAGCTTAGCCTGCTGGTGTGCACCTATAGTCCCAGCTACTCGGGAGGCTGAGGCAGGAGAATCGCTTGAACCCGGGAGGCAGAGGTTGCAGAGAGCAGAGATCGCACCACTGCACTCCAGGCTGGTGACAGAGTGAGATTCCATCTCAAAAAATATTATATATATATATATGTATGTATGTGTATATACATATATAAGATATATATACACATATATACACATATATTTTATGTATATATACACACACATATATTTTATATATATATATATATAAAATTTTCATTAGCTACCACTGCCTACCTACGAGAATGAGGGAACTACTGTGTTATACAAAGCCTTTCTTTGAACTTCCAACTCCCCTTTGAATAACTGAATAATATTGACTGTGCTTTTACTGTGGGAAACAAAATTAATTCCTACAGGCATTGAAGTTTTATTCTGTTTTTCTTTTCTTTTTCCTTTCTATAGTCTCTAACAGATACAATATCGTTACCTGGTCCATGCATGCTTTTTTGATACATGAGACAATGCTCAGAACTGTCACATTATCATATCTACCTGACAGATTTTCCTGGCAAATACAATGTTGACAGAAACAATTGACACCCAACATCTAAAATATAAACCTCTCTTCAGATTATTGACTTTTGACACTGAGAAGAACAGCTTTCAATAGCCCTGACAATCACAACCTTGCTTTTTAAAAAGTATGTGCTTAAACGCCAGAGTGTGCTCCTCCAGAGATTTGGGAGGTTTACCTGATGTTGATGTTTAGTGTGGACAGAGAAGGTTGTGCGTCTCATGGTTCACAATGGACTTTTCCTGCCGTTACCTGGGCAAAATCAATCAAAAACATTCACGAAATATTTTGTCTAACTGATGACTCTATTATTAGGTTTTTCTGCATTACTTTACGGTGTTTCAGAGACTCATTAGCATGTCATTGAAAAACATATGGTGAGTCTAACAACACAGTTTGTTATTCCCAAGCCATTATGATTCATCTAGAGACAGAGAACAGATTCACAGAGAGAGAGGTATCATATCAGTAGTCTCTGAATCAGAGTCAATACAAGTGTCAATGGATGCAAGACTGACACTTTTTCCTTAATTATTGCTTATATGTACTCAAATTACTAAATCATTCAAAACATGCATCATTGGTCTGGGCTGGTCTCAATCATTTAGCAATTTAAAACTTTCTAGAACACAAAAGCAGGCTGGGCTGGAGTGGTGGCTCACGCCTATAATCCCAGCACTTTGGGAGGCCGAGGTGGGTGGATCCCTTGAGGCCAGGAGTTCCAGACCAGCCTCGCCAACATGGTAAAATCCATCTTTACTAAAAATACAAAAATTATTTGGGCGTGGTGGCACATGCCTGTAATCTCAGGTTCTTGGAAGGCTGAGGCAGGAGAATCGCTTGAACCTGGGATGCAAAAGTTGCAGTGAGCCAAGATTGCACCACTGCACTCCAGCCTGGGCAACAGAATGAGACCCTTGTCTCAAAATAATAATAAAACTAGTGTTTTTAATAGCTAATAATGTCTAAAGTAATATATTTCTTATAAATACAAATATGATCCAGTTCAATATACATTTTTAGTGTCCCATTAAAAAATATTTCCAGGTGTACATATTAATATGTAAATATAAAATTGAAAATGAATTTTTGGTACATCAAATCATTTTTCAAAGTTTATATATATATATTTTTAGATGGAGTTTCACTCTCTTGCCCAGGCTGGAGTGCAGTGGCTCAATCTTAGCTCACTGCAACCTCCTCCTCCCAGGTTCCAGCAGTTCTCCTGCCTCAGCCTCCTGAGTAGCTAGGATTACAGGTTCATGCTACCACAGCTGGCTAATTTTTTGAATTTTTAGTAGGGACAGGGTTTCACCATATTGACCAGGCTGGTCTCAAACTCCTGACCTTGGGTGATCCACCCGCCTGGACCTCCCAAAGTGCTGGGATTAGAGGCAAGCGCCACCACGCCCAGCTAATTTTTTGTGTTTTTAGTAAAGACAGGGTTTCACCATGTTGGCCAGTCTGGTCTCAAACTCCTGACCTCAGGTGATCCACCCACCTCCTTTTTCAGTTTATGTTCTTTAAGTTCTATGTTCAATTTTGATTAAGTAGCACGTGAATGAATATTGTGTGTATTTAAGTAAAGAGAATCCATCTATTAACAGGAAAAAATTTCTTATCTCATTTATTTCTAAAATTTTTCTCCTTGGAGAATATTCCCCAAATGTGAAACATTTAAATTCTGTCATCACAACAAAGCTGATCTTCCCAAATTCGTTATACACGCACACAATATTGAGCAATAAATTTTGCACATCTAGCTAAAGAGCCCAAAACGGGCTTTGGAATTCAAATTATCATTCTGTGTTCAGTAGCTGGATCGTCCAATATGTACATGGCATTCAGAAAAGTTATTTGACATTTCTGAGCTTCAGTTTCTTCATAAGCAATAATGAAATATTGATATCACCTCTATGCACATTTAACCATTGGACTCCATCAGGTTTAAGTGACAGATTCAGGTGCAACTTTATTTAGAATTCATGTTGTATCCCAAGATCCATCCTCATCTCTGCTTCCTCTGGGTAAGCTCCATTTTCCTTCCTGGCTGCAAGAAAGTTTCCAGCTGTTTCTGGGATAACATTATTTCAGGCTGACATTTATTGGGAAAAGATTGGGAAAAGAGGAAGAGTCTTGGTTCAGCATCCTATCCAAAGTTATGTTCCCTTGGCTATGATTTAGTCACAATCTCTTTTGCCACATAATTTATATAGCTGAATGATTAAGCTGATGTAAAGTCAACTCCAGAAGAACGACTTGGAGAAAGGGGGCAGTCCTTTGAAGGAATATTGAGGGGTCATTAGAAGGAAAGGTATTAACAGATGCCAGAGAGAAAAACTAATCAATGTTCACTGTAATTATTTAGACTGGTTCTTATGAGACTATGTTACCTATATAAAGGTTAACTTTATGACTGTATGCAATCCAAAAATAGTACAGTTAATTGTTAATATTTTACACTATTCATGGCTTTTCAAATCACTTTATATCTTTTATCTTATTCACTGCTCTCAACCCAAAGGTCTTTTTGAGTTGTGTTTGAAGGTTGGTTGTTTTTAAACGTTTCCTCCTCAGGAAAGCTGTATTGCCAGCCCAATGAAGCTAATCGGCTTGGCAGTAGAGCCTAGACTTACACTTTGTCTTGCAACCCTGTTACACCACAGGTGCCCAGTCAGGCCTCCTATGGATGTGATCACTTTTCCTTTCTCTCAGCAATTTATAAAGGATTTGCTACTAGTTGCACATGTGTGAAATCAAAAATGGATCAAAGAAACAAAGTATACATTTTATTTCCTTCAAGATCAATGCTGTTCATCTTCTCAATTTAGCAATTGTTTCCTCTTATATAATCTGTGAGTTACATTTAACTTGTGCTTACTGCTCTTCCTGGAGAGAAGCCAGTTGTGAGGCCAAGAAAAGGCCTGTTTGCTAAGCCCTATTTGATGGTGTTTGGCAGAACTGAAGTCCAGGACAGTTACACATGAGAAGATATGAAATGAAATTGTAGAAGCAGTGAATGAGCATGAATAAGCATGAGTAACAGTAAAGTTAAAGATGAAAAGTCTCAAGTATTTACAAAAGTATTTTTAATCAGTATCCAGGAGGAATCCCATGGAATATGAATCCCATGAAATACCCTTAGTCAAGGTACCTGACTAAAGAAATATCTACCTAGGCTTGCCCTCACAAACTCAGAGATGACTTACAGCAGATAAAAAGTCACTTTACACTTCTGCCACCTAACTCAGAGACTTAATAGCGGTCTACATCAGAACACAGACTAACCATCTGTGCTGTCTTCTTATACATAGCATTGATGTGGCTTAAGCACTGGTACTCATTCCTACCCAGTATTTATGCTTCCTTTTTTCTTCTTTTGAGACAGAGACTCGCTCTGTCACCAGGCTAGAGTACAGTGGTGTAATCTTGGCTCACTGCAACCTCTGCCTCCCAGGTTCAAGCGATTCTCCTGCCTCAGCCTCCCAAGCAGCTGGGACTACAGGCCTGCACCACCACGCCCAGCTAATTTTTGTATTTTTAGTAGAGACAGGGTTTCACCATGTTGGCCAGGATGATCTCGATCTCCTGACTTCGTGATCCACCCGCCTCAGCCTCCCAAAGTGCTGGCATTACAGGCCTGAGCCATCGCGCCCGGCCTGTGCTTCCTGGCATGATCTCAGCTCACCGCAACCTCCGCCTCACAGGTTCAGGCGATTCTTCTGCTTCAGCCTCCTGAGTAGCTGGGATTACAGGCATGCGCCACCACAGCCAGCTACTTTTGTATTATTAATAGAGATGGGGTTTCTCCATGTTGGTCAGGCTGGTCTTGAACTCCTGACCTCAGGTGATCCACCCACTTCCACCTCCCGAAGTGCTGGGATTACAGGCGTGATATGCTTCCCTATTAAAATACAATAACCAGGACAGAAAGCATCCCCAGGGGCATGTGGGAGGATGAGTAAGTACTGATTATGGCAGGTTGCTTCTGGGGTGCTTTAGGTCCAAAAATTAAAGCATTCAAGGAGAGTAAGAGGAAGATTCTAATTAACAGTGTATGTTCCTGGCATTCTGCTGATTGGAGGACCAGCGAGTGATGATAGGGGAAATCCCAGTTACAGTACAGTAAACCTATAGAAGACACTGGAAGCTAGCAGATGAAATTGCTCTCCAAATGCGGATCTAAAAACATGTATGAAAAATTACCTAAGTGGAAATGTTAGCAAAAGTAGGGGCAACTTTATATACAACCTACTAAAGAATGGGGAAGTCAGGGAATCTCATCTTATTGGCCTCTTCTTCAACAACCAGAGCTGCATGGGCTCTCTCATTGAACTACTTTTATCCTGATGTAGTCTCAACCTGTCTGATCCCATCTATGGCTATGGCTATAGGGATATTTTCCATCTGCCTGCTATAGATGTTTGTTATTGCTGGTGACTCCCAACTTTGCATTTCTTGCACCAGCCTCTGCTATGAATTCCAGACTCATATCTGGCTGATTCCTTATCATTTCTACTTGAAGATACAATAAGCATTTCTACTCTTACACATACAAGGGCAAGTATTCCCTTTTTCTCTTTGGTAATTCCATTTGCCCTAAAATATGTTTTGTCTGATATTAAGAAAATGATACTTGGTTAGTATTTATTGTACATATATTTTCTAACATTTTTCTTTTTATTACAACACACATGCAGAAAAGTGTCAATAAACATATATCTCAGTGAATTATTACACAGTAAATACTTGTATATCCACCATGCAAGTCAAAAGATGGGATGTTGCCTGTACTCAAGAAGCTATCCTTGATACTCATCTTAACCACTACTCTCTTCATCTTGTCTAAAGTTAGACACTGCCTTGACTTCTAACACTCCAGTTTAGTTTTCTTTCTCTTGAATTTGATATAAATGGAATCATGCACATGTTGTTTTTTAATCTGTCATCTTTGCTTAGCGTTGTTCGGGTAATTCATCCATGTTATTACATATAGTTATATTTCAGTTATTTTCCTTGCGCATACTTTGAAATACAAAGGAATATTGTGTGAATACACAGTCCCTCCTTATCCACAGGGTATATATGCCAAGACCCTCAGTGGGTGCCAGAAACCTCAGATAGTACCAAACACTATATATATGATGTTCGTTCCTATACATAATACATATGATAAAGTTTAATTTATGAATTAGGCACAGTAAGAGATTAACAACAATAAATGGTATTGAAATAGAACAAGTATAACAATACACTGTAAAAAAAAAGTCGAAAGTGTTTTCTTGCTCTTTCTTTCAAAATACCTTGTACTGTAGAAAGCAAAATGCCAGTTAAAAGGGGACTACTTTACCATTTATCCATTTTAGTATAGAGGGACATCTGAGTTTTCTCCAGCTTTTGTTTATTGCAAATATAGCTGAACATCTTTATACACTTACCTGTGAATATTCTTGTACATGTCTGTTGAGCACATGTGAATGTATTTCAGTCGGGCATGTACTGGGTCATAGGATACATATTTGTTAAACTTTAGAAGATAATGCAAAACTTTCAAAACTGACTCTATCAATATACATTGCTACCAAGAATACATAAGTTCCAGTTGTCTCACATCCTCTCCAACACTAGGACTTGTCAGTGGGTGTGGAGTGAAATTTTATTGTGATTTTAGATTGCAGTTTCCTGGTTGCAAATGAGGTTAAGCACATTTGAATATGTTTATTACATATTTGAATATCCTTTTTCATGAAGTGACTCCAGTCACTTGCTCTTTTATCTTTTGGATTTATGTCATTTTTGTAGTAACATACAGGCATGTTTTTTATATTATAGATATCTTCTCCCAATCTGTAGCTTGTTTTTTACTTTCTTGATGGTATCTTTTGATAAATCAGTTTTCAATTTCATGTACATTAATTTGTCAATTTTTGTTTGTAGTTAGTGCTTACCATTTAGCCACTATTTCCCTACTCTTTAAGATGATAAAATTTGGAAGCATATTGTCATGCCTTTCAAATTTAGGCTTATAATCTACTTGGAATTTACTATCGTGTATGGAGTGACACAGAGTCAAATTTTACTTTGTAGTTCCATATGAAGATATAATTGAACCAACACCTTTTACTAAAATAACTTCATTTTCTTCACTTCTCTGTAAGGCCATCATTTCCATAAATCAACTGTTCACATAGATGTAACTCTCTCTGAACTTTCTGATAATGTTCCGTTTGTCTATATAATAATTAAGCAAATACCACACTGACTTAATTATATTATAGTAGCTTTATAATTAGTCTTGATAACCAGAAGAGCTATTCCTCCCTCCCTCTTGGGTCCCTCAAGGCTGTCTTGGCTATTATTAGCTCTTTGTGTTTCCATATACATTTTAGAATTACCTTGAAAGGCTTCTCTGTCTCTCTCTCTCTCTCTCTCTCTCTCTCTCTCTCTCTCTCTCTCTCACACACACACACACACACACACACATAGCCCTCTGTTGGGATTCTGATTAGGATTTTACTGTATTGATAGCTAAAACTAGTATAATTGAGATATTTTCAATACTGAATCTTTGTAACATTCATGCAAAAGGTATTTCACTTCATTCTGTTTTTGTTTAATCTCATTCCAAATATCATAGCATCTTCGGTACTGTACACATCATTTGTTAGACATTATTTATGTAGTTGATATGCCTGATGACATTTTAAATTTTTAGAATTTCGTTTTCTAATATATATTTCTGGTGTTGAGAAATATAGTTGATATGTTCTTTGTGTGTACCTCACTTTGTAATCAGTAATCTTAACCTCAATTCATTAATTGTAATAGTTTACCTACTTCAAAAAAATTGTATATAGGCAAATACTATAATATAAGACATCTTATCTGGGTAATAGTTCATATTCACATACTTGGCAAAGTGTGTGTGTGTGTGTGTGTGTGTGTGTGTGTTATTATGGGATAAGATAACTATTTTTTAAATACACTGAAATGCACTGGGCCTTTTTCAGTTTTAGCATAAGGATCCGGGATGCTTATTGACCTTATCCAAATGAACTAAGTTTCTAATTTTCTTTTCTTTTCTTTTTTTTGGATACGGAGTTTCACTCTTGTTGCCCACACTGGAGTGCAGTGGCATAATCTCAGCTCACTGCAACCTCTGCCTTCTGGTTTCAAGCAATTCTCCCGGCTCAGCCTCCTGAGTATCTGGGACTACAGGCGCTCACCACCACGCCTAGCTAATTTTTGTATTTTTAGTAGAGATGGGGTTTCATCGTGTTGGCCAGGCTGGTCTCGAACTCCTGACTTTGTGATCCACCTGCCTTCGTGATCCACCTACCTTGGCCTCTCAAAGTGGTGGGATTACAGGCATGAGCCACCGTGCCCAGCCTCTTTTTAAAAAATTATACTTAAGTTCTGGGATACATGTGCAGAACGTGCAGGTTTGTTACATAGGAATACATGTGCCATGGTGGTTGGCTGCACCCATCAACCCGTCATCTATATTAAGTATTTCTTCTAATGTTATCCCTTCCCAAACCCCCAACCCCTGACAGGCCCCACTGTGTGATATTCCCCTCCAGTGCCCATATGTTCTGACTGTTCAACTCCCACTTATGAGTGACAACATGTGGTGTTTGGTTTTCTGTTCCTGTGTCAGTTTGCTGAGGATGATGGTTTCCAGGTTCATCCATGTCCCTGCAAAGGACATGGACTCATTCTTTTTATGGCGCATAGTATTCCACAGTGTATATGTGCCACATTTTATTTATCCAGTCTATCATTGATGGGTATTTAGGTTTGTTCCAAGTCTTTGCTATTGTAAATAGTGCTGCAGTAAACATATGTGTGCATGTGTCTTTATAGTAGAATGATTTATAATCTTTTGGGTATATACCCAGTAATGGGATTGCTGGTTCTAGATCCTTGAGGAATTGACGCACTATCTTCCATAATGGTTGAACTAATGCACGCTCCCACCAACAGTGTAAAAGTGTTCCTATTTCTCTGCATCCTCACCAGCATCTGCTGTTTCCTGACATTTTAATGATCGCCATTCTAACTGGCATGATATAGTATCACATTGTGGTTTTGATTTGCATTTCTCTAATGACCAGTGATGAAAAGCTTTTTTTCTTTTTTTTTATTATTTTCTTTATTATTATTATTATTATCCTTTAAGTTTTAGGATACATGTGCACAACGTGCAGGTTTGTTACATATGTATACATGTGCCATGTTGGTGTGCTGCACCCATTAACTCGTCATTTAGCATTAGGTATATCTCCTAATGCTATCCCTCCCCCCTCCCCCCAGCCCACAACAGTCCCCGGTGTGTGATGTTCCCCTTCCTGTGTCCATGTGTGCTCATTGTCCAATTCCCACCTATGAGTGAGAACATGCGGTGTTTGGCTTTTTGTCCTTGCGATAGTTTGCTGAGAATGATGGTTTCCAGTTTCATCCATGTCCCTACAAAGGACATGAACTCATCATTTTTTATGGCTGTATAGTATTCCATGGTGTATATGTGCCACATTTGCTTAATCCAGTCTATCATTGTTGGACATTTGGGTTGGTTCCAAGTCTTTGCTATTGTGAATAGTGCCGCAATAAACATACCTGTGCATGTGTCTTTATAGCAGCATGATTTATAGTCCTTTGGGTATATACCCAGTAATGGGATGGCTGGGTCAAATGGTATTTCTAGTTCTAGATCCCTGAGGAATTGCCACACCGACTTCCACAATGGTTGAACTAGTTTACAGTCCCACCAACCGTGTAAAAGTGTTCCTATTTCTCCACATCCTCTCCAGCATCTGTTGTTTCCTGACTTTTTAATGATCGCCATTCTAACTGGTGTGCGATGGTATCTCATTGTGGTTTTGATTTGCATTTCTCTGATGGCCAATGATGATGAGCATTTTTTCATGTGTTTTTTGGCTGCATAAATATCTTCTTTTGAGAAGTGTCTGTTTATATCCTTCACCCACTTTTTGATGGGGTTGTTTGTTTTTTTCTTGTAAATTTATTTGAGTTCATTGTAGATTCTGGATATTAGCCCTTAGTCAGATGAGTAGGTTGCAAAAATTTTCTCCCATTCTGTAGGTTGCCTGTTCACTCTGATGGTAGTTTCTTTTGCTGTACAGAAGCTATTTAGTTTAATTAGATCCCATTTGTCAATTTTGGCTTTTGTTGCCATTGCCTTTGGTATTTTAGACATGAAGTCCTTGCCCATGCCTATGTCCTGAATGATATTGCCTAGGTTCTCTTCTAGGGTTTTTATGGTTTTAGGTCTAACATGTAAGTCTTTAATCCATCTTGAATTAATTTTTGTACAAGGTGTAAGGAAGGGATCCAGTTTCAGCTTTCTACATATGGCTAGCCAGTTTTCCCAGCACCATTTATTAAATAGGGAATCCTTTCCCCATTGCTTGTTTTTGTCAGGTTTGTCAAAGATCAGATAGTTGTAGATATGCAGCATTATTTCTGAGGGTTCTGTTCTGTTCCATTGGCCTATATCTCTGTTTTGGTACCAGTACCATGCTGTTTTGGTTACTGTAGCCTTGTAGTATAGTTTGAAGTCAGGTAGCTTGATGCCTCCAAGCTTTGTTCTTTTGGCTTAGGGTTGACTTGGCAATGCGGGCTCTTTTTTGATTCCATATGAACTTTAAAGTAGTTTTTTCCAGTTCTGTGAGGAAAGACATTGGTAGCTTGATGCCTCCAAGCTTTGTTCTTTTGGCTTAGGGTTGACTTGGCAATACGGGCTCTTTTTTGATTCCATATGAACTTTAAAGTAGTTTTTTCCAGTTCTGTGAGGAAAGTCATTGGTAGCTTGATGGGGATGGCATTGAATCTATAAATTACCTTGGGCAGTATGGCCATTTTCACGATATTGATTCTTCCTACCCATGAGCATGGAATGTTCTTCCATTTGTTTGTATCCTCTTTTATTTCCTTGAGCAGTGGTTTGTAGTTCTCTTTGAAGAGGTCCTTCACATCCCTTGTAAGTTGGATTCCTAGGTATTTTATTCTCTTTGAAGCAATTGTGAATAGGAGTTCACTCATGATTTGGCTCTCTGTCTGTTATTGGTGTATAAGAATGCTTGTGATTTTTGCACATTGATTTTGTATCCTGAGACTTTGCTGAAGTTGCTTATCAGCTTAAGGAGATTTTGGGCTGAGACAATGGGGTTTTCTAGATATACAATCATGTCATTTGCAAACAGGGACAATTTGACTTCCTCTTTTCCTAATTGAATGCCCTTTATTTCCTTCTCCTGCCTGATTGCCCTGGCCAGAACTTCCAACACTATGTTGAATTGGAGTGGTGAGAGAGGGCATCCCTGTCTTGTGCCAGTTTTCAAAGGGAATGCTTCCAGTTTTTGCCCATTCAGTATGACACTGGCTGTGGGTTTGTCATAGATAGCTCTTATTATTTTGAGATATGTCCCATCAATACCTAATTTATTGAGAGTTTTTGGCATGAAGGCTTGCTGAATTTTGTCAAAGGCCTTTTCTGCATCTTTTGAGATAATCATGTGGTTTTTGTCTTTGGTTCTGTTTATATGATGGATTACGTTTATTGATTTTCGTATGTTGAATCAGCCTTGCATCCCAGGGATGAAGCCCTCTTGATCATCGTGGATAAGCTTTTTGATGTGTTGCTGGATTCAGTTTGCCAGTATTTTATTGAGGATTTTTGCATCAGTGTTCATCAAGGATATTGGTCTAAAATTCCCTTTTTTGTGTGTGTCTCTGCCAGGCTGCTGTCAGGATGATGCTGGCCTCACAAAATGAGTTAGGGAGGATTCCCTCTTTTTCTATTGATTGGAATAGTTTCAGAAGGAATGGTACCAGCTCCTCTTTGTACCTCTGGTAGACTTCAGCTGTGAATCCATATGGTGCTGGACTTTTCTTGGTTGGTAAGCTATTAATTATTGCCTCAATTTCAGAGCCTGTTATTGGTCTATTCAGAGATTCAACTTCTTCCTGGTTTAGTCTTGGGAGAGTGTATGTGTCAAGGAATTTATCCATTTCTTCTAGATTTTCTAGTTTATTTGCATAGTGGTGCTTATAGTATTCTCTGATGGTAGTTTGTATTTCTGTGGGATCGGTGGTGATATCCCCTTTGTCATTTTTTATTGGGTCTATTTTATTCTTCTCTCTTTTCTTCTTTATTAGTCTTGCTAGCAGTCTATCAATTTTGTTGATCTTTTCAAAAAAACCAGCTCCCAGATTCATTGATTTTTTTGAAGGGTTTTTTTTTGTCTCTATGTCCTTCAGTTCTGCTCTGATCTTAGTTATTTCTTGCCTTCTGCTAACTTTTGAATGTGTTTGCTCTTTCTTCTCTAGTTCTTTTAATTGTGATGTTAGGGTGTCAGTT
The DNA here is from genome assembly GCF_000001405.40 of Homo sapiens. Lineage (NCBI taxonomy): Eukaryota > Metazoa > Chordata > Mammalia > Primates > Hominidae > Homo > Homo sapiens. The sequence continues at coordinate 165,968,428 of NC_000005.10, forward strand.
TTAGATCTTTTTTTCATATGTTTGTTGGTCACATAAATGTCTTCTTTTGAAAAGTGTTCATATCCTTTACCCACTTTTAGATGGGGTTGTTTTTTTCTTGTAAATTTTTTTAAGTTCCTTGTAGATTCTGGATGTTAGACCTTTGTCAGATGGAGAGATTGCAAAAATTCTCTCCCATTATATAGGTTGCCTGTTCACTCTGATGATAGTCTCTTTTGCTGAGCAGAAGCTCTTTAGTTTAATTAGATCCTATTTGTCAATTTTTGCTTTTTTGCAATTGCTCTTGGTGTTTTAGTCATGAAGTCTTTGCCCATGTCTGTGTCCTGAATGGTATTGCCTAGGTTTTCTTCTGGGGTTTTTATGGTTTTAGATTTTATGTTTAAGTCTTTAACCCAACATGAGTTAATTTTTGTGTAAGGTGGAAGGAAGGGGTCCAGTTACTCTTTTCTGTATATGGCTAGCCAGCTTTCCCAGCACCATTTATTGAATAGGGAATCCTTTCCCCATTGCTTGTTTTTGTCAGATTTGTCGAAGATCGGATGGTTGTAGATGTGTGGTGTTATTTCTGAGGCCTCTGTTCTATTCCCTTCGTCTATATATCTGTTTTGGTACTAGTACCGTGCTGTTTTGGTTACTGTAGCCTTGTAGTATAGTTTGAAGTCAGGTAGCATGATGCCTCCAGCTTTGTTCTTTTTGCTAGGATTGTCTTGGCTATACAGGCTCTTTTTTGATTCCATATGAAATTTAAAGTAGTTTTTTCTAGTTCTGTGAAGAAAGTCAGTGGTAGCTTGATGGGGATAGCATATAATCTATAAATTACTTTGGGCAGTATGGCCATTTTCATGATATTGAGTCTTTTATCCATGAGCATGGAATTCGTTTTCATTTGTTTGTGTCCTCTTTTATTTCCTTGAGCAGTGGTTTGTAGTTTTCCTTGAAGAAGTTTTTCACATTCCTTGTAAATTGAATTCCTAGGTATTTTATTTTCTTTGTAGTAATTGTGAATGGGAGTTCACTCATGATTTGGCTCTCCGCTTGTCTATTATTGGTGTATAGGAATGCTTGTGATTTTTTCCTATTGATTTTGTATCCTGAGACTTTGCTGAAGTTGCCTATCAGCTTAAGGAGATTTTGGGCTGAGAAAATGGGGTTTTCTAAATATACAATCATGTCGTCTGCAAACAGACACAGTTTGACTTCCTCTCTTCCTATTTGAATACCCTTTATTTCTTTCTCTTGCCTGGTTGCTCTGGCCAGAACTTCCAATACTATGTTGAATAGAAGTTGTGAGAGAGGGCATCCTTGTCTTGTGCCAGTTTTCAAAGGGAATGCTTCCAGCTGTTGCCCATTCAGTATGATATTGGCTATGGGTTTATCATAAATAGCTCTTATTATTTAGAGATATGTTCCATCAATACCTAGTTTATTGAAAGTTTTTAGCATGAAGGGATGTTGAATTTTATCAAAGGCCTTTTCTGCATCTATTGTGATAATCATGTGGTCTTTGTCTTTATAGTAGAATTTGTTTATATTGGTTCTATTTATGCGATGAATTATGTTTGTTGATTTGTGTATGTTGAACCAGCCTTGCATCCCAGGGATGAAGCTGACTTGATTGTGGTGGATAAGCTTTTTGATGTGTGCTGCTGGATTCGGTTTGCCAGTATTTTATTGAGGATTTTCACACTGATGTTCATCAGGGATATTAGCCTAAAATTTTCCTTGTTATGTCTCTGCCAGGTTTTGGTATCAGGATGATGCCATTTAGGGAGGATTCCCTCTTTTTCTATTGTTTGGAATAATTTCAGAAGGAATGGTACCAGCTCCTCTTTGTACCTCTGGTAGAATTCGGCTATGAATCTGTCTGGTCCTGAGCTTTTTGTGGTTGGTAGGCTGTTAATTACTGCCTCAATTTCAGAACTCATTGTTGGTCTATTCAGGGATTCGACCTCTTCCTGGTTTAGTTTTGGGAAGGGTGTATGTGTCCAGGAATTTATCCATTTCTTCTAGATTTTCTAATTTATTTGCGTAGAGGTGTTTACAGTATTCTCTGATGATAGTTTGTATTTCTGTGGGATCAGTGGTGATATCCCCTTTATAATTTTTTATTTTTTCTATTTGAATGTTCCCTCTTTTCTTCTTTATTGCTCTGGCTAGTGGTCTATTTTGTTAATCTGTTCAAAAAACCAGCTCCTAGATTCATTGATTTTTGAAGGGTTTTTCATGTCTCTATCTCCTTCAGTTCTGTTCTGATCTTAGTTATTTCTTATCTTCTGCTAGCTTTTGAATTTGTTTGCTCTTGCTTTTCTAGTTCTTTTAATTGTGATGTTAGAGTGTCGGTTTTAGATCTTTCCCACTTTCTGATGTGAACATTTAGTGCTATAAATTTCTCTCTAAACATTGCTTTAGCGTGTCCCAGAGATTCTGGTATGTTGTGTCTTTGTTCTCATTGGTTTCAAAGAACTTCATTATTTCTGCCATAATTTTGTTATTTGCGCAGTAGTCATTCAGGAGCAGGTTCTTCAGTTTCCACGTAGTTGTGCGGTTTTGAGTGAGTTTCTTTATCTTCAGTTCTAATTTGCACTGTGGTCTGAGAGGCTATTAAGATTTCTGTTCTTTTGCATTTGCTGATGAGTGTCTTACTTCCAATTATGTGGTCAGTTTTAGAATAAGTGCTGTGTGGTGCTGAGAAGAATGCATATTCTGTTGATTTAGGATGGGGAGTCCTGTATATGTCTGTTAGGTCCACTTGGTCCAGAGCTGAGTTCAAGTCCTGAATATCCTTGTTAATTTTCAGTCTCGTTGATCTGTCTAATATTAATAGTGGGGTGTTAAATTATCCCACTATTATTGTGTGGGAGTCTAAATCTCTGTGTAGGTATCTAAGAACTTGTTTTATGAACCTGGGTGCTCCTGTATTGAGTGCATATATATTTAGGATAGTTAGCTCTTCTTGTTACATTGATTCCTTTACCATTATGTAATGCCCTTCTTTGTCCTTTTTGATCTTTGTTGGTTTAAAGTCTGTTTTATCAGAGACTAGGATTGCAACCTCTGCTTTTCTTTGCTTTCCATTTGCTTGGTAAAGACTCCTCCATTCCTTTATTTTGAGCCTATGTGTGTCTTTGCATGTGAGATGGGTCTTCTGAATACAGCAAACTGTTGGATCTTGACTCTTTATCCAATTTATCAGTCTTTGTCTTTTAATTGGGGCATTTGGTCCATTTACATTTAAGGATAATGTTGTTATGTGTGAATTTGATCCCATGATCATGATGCTAGCTGGTTATTTTGCACATTAGTTGATGCAGTTTCTTCATAGTGTCATTGGTCTTTACATTTTGGTATGTTTTTGCTGTGGCTGGTACAGGTTTTTCCTTTCCATGTTTAGTGCTTCCTTCAGGAGCTCTTGTAAGGCAGACCTGGTTGGTGACAAAATCTCTCAGCATTTGCTTGTCTGTAAAGTATTTTATTTCTCCTTCACTTATGAAGCTTAGTTTGGCTGGATATGAAATTCTGGGTTCAAAATTCTTTTCTTTAAGCATGTTAAATATTGGTCTCCACTCTCTTCTGGCTTGTAAGGTTTCTGCAGAGACATCTGTTAGTCTGATGGGCTTCCCTTTGTAAGTAACTTGACCTTTCTCTCTGGCTCCCCTTAACATTTTTTCCTTCATTTCAACCTTGGTGAATCTGATGATTATGTGTCTTGGGGTTGCTCCTCTCAAGGAGTATCTTAGTGGTGTCTCTGTATTTCCTGAATTTAAAGGTTGGCCTGTCTTGCTAGGTTGAGAAAGTTCTCCTGGATAATATCCTGAAGAGTGTTTTCCAACTTGGTTTCATTCTCCCCATCACTTTCAGGTACAACAATCAAACATAGGTTTGGTCTTTTCATATAGTCCCATATTTCTTGGAGGCTTTATTCATTCCTTTTCATTCTCTTTAATCTTATCTTCATGCCTTATTTCAGTAAGTTGATCTTCAATCTCTGATATCCTTTCTTCTGCTTGACTGATTCAGCTCTTCATACTTGTATATGCTTCACGAAGTTCTCATTCTGTGTTTTTCATCTCCATCAGGTCATTTATGTTCTTCTCTAAACTGATTATTCTAGTTAGCAGTTCCTATTACCTTTTGTCAAGGTTTTTAGGTTCTTTGCATTGGGTTCGAACAAGCTTCTTTAGTTCAGAGGAGTTTGTTATTACCCACCTTCTGAAGCCTGCTTCTGTGATTTCATCAAATTCATTCTTTGTCCAGTGTTGTACCCTTGCTGGAGAGGAGTTGTGATCATTTGGAGGAGAAGAGGTATTCTGGTTTTTGGAATTTTCAGCATTTGTGCTCCGGTTTTTCTTCATCTTTGTGGATTTATCTACCTTTGATCTTTGAGGCTGATGAGCTTTGGATGGGGTTCTGTGTGGGGGTACTTTTTGTTGATGTTGATGTTATTGCTTTCTGTTCATTAGTTTTTCTTCTAACAGTCAGGCCCCTCTTCTTTAGGTCTGTTGCAGTTTGTTGGAGGTCCACTCCAGATCCTATTTGCCTGGGTATCACCAATGGAGGCTTCAGAACAGCAAAGATTGCTGCCTGCTCCTTCCTCTGGAAGCTTCGTCCCAGAGGGGCACTCGCCTGTTGCCAGCCGGAGCTCTCCTGTATGAGGTGTCTGTTGGCCCCTGCTAGAAGGTCTCCCAAAGTCAGGAGGCACAAGGGTTAGGGACCAACTTGAAGAGGCAGTCTGTCCCTTAACAGAGCTCAAGCGCTGTGTTGAGAGGACCCTCCTTTTCAGGATCCTTTGCTGTCTTCAGAGTTGGCAGGCAGGAATGTTTAAGTCTGCTGAAGCTGCGCCTACAGCCACCCCTTCCCCCAGGTGCTCTGTCCCAGGGAGTTGGGAGTTTTATCCATAAGCCCCTGACTGGTGCTTCTGCCTTTCTTTCAGAGATTCCCTGCCCAGTGAAGAGGAATCCAGAGAGGCAGTCTGGCCACAGCCGCTTTGCCACACTGTGTTGAGTTCCACCCAGTCCTTATTACTGTTGGGGGAAAACCACCTACTCAAGCCTCAGTAATGGCGGACACCTCTCCCCGCACCAAGCTTGATAGTTCCAGGTTGACTTCAGACTGCAGTGCTGGCAGCTAGAATTTCCAGCCAGTTGTTCTTAGCTTGCTCTGTGGGAGTGGGACCTACTGAGTGAGACCACTTGGCTCCCTGGCTTCAGCCCCCTTTCCAGGGGAGTGCATGGTTTTGTCTTGCCTGGGTTACAGATGCCACTGGTGCATGGGGCGGAAAAAAAAAAAAATCCTGCAGCTAGATCAGTGTCTGCCCAAACAGCCACCCAGTTTTGTGCTTGAAACCCAGGACCCTGGTGATGTAGGCACACGAGGGAATCTCCTGGTCTGCAGATTGCAAAAACCATGGGCAAAGCACAGTATCTGGGCTGGATAGCACAGTTCCTCACAGCACAGTCCCTCATGGCTTCCCTTGGCTGGGAGAGGGAGGCTTTCACTCTTTGAACTTCCTGGGTGAGGCGATGCTCCACCCTGCTTCTCGTTGCCCTCCATGGGCTGCACCCACTGCCTAACCAGTCCCATTGAGATAAACAGGGTACCTCAGTTGGAATGCAGAAATCACCCGCCTTCTGCATTGGTCTCACTGGGAGATGCAGACCAGAGCTGTTCCTATTCAGCCATTTTGCCAGAACTCATCTGTGAAATTTTAATACTTAGCAAGAAAAAGAGTTTGCTTTTGTGGGGTCAAATAGCTTACACTCATATGAAAAGTGGCATACATTTCAAACAACAATAAATTTCATTTAAGTGAGTATTTCCCACATGATCTAAAAAAAAAAAAAAGCTAATAAGAGGGAAATTCGACAATTAGAATAATCAGGTCATATTTATAGTAGAACTCAGAACTAACTCCTTGTAAATCAATTAGCATGGGTTATTAATTAATTTTTTGCTCTTCCATCTCCTCCCTTCAGCTGTTCAGATAACATATCTGAATATATTATATTACTAAATATATTAGTATGTTCTATGAATCCCTACAGGCTCTCAGGAAAAATATTTTAATAATACAACAGAGGGAGAGAATTTGGTTAGTGGAATATTGGGCTATTTTGATGTCCATTTGACATCACTTTACCTAAAAGTCATGCATGCTTTTCTTTTCTCTGTGTACCTGTGTGTCAAACCTTCCTCTACCTTCCATATAATGATGCCGGTCACTGGATATAGGGACCACCCTAAATCCAAGATGGCCTCTAAATCCAGAATGATCTCATTTTCAGATCTTTAACTCAATTAAATCTACAAAAAAGTACCAAAAATTTAAATTAAAGTTACAAAATACTATCAGGTTGGTGGACAAGTAATTGAAGCTTTGCCATTGAAAATAATGGCAAAAACCCAATTACTTGTGCACCAACCTAATGAGAAACTGTCAGAAAATTTCCATAATCTCCAAATTACAATAATTTTTAAAATCTTGGCCCAGCTATGCCATCTCATTCCTAATGTAATATGGTAGCCACCCCAATCAAAATGGAATTCAGAGAAAGGTTTCTGTGGTATTTAGAATCCCCGTCTTACGTCATTGGTACTGGACCCTCCTTTATTATTCCAAGTAGGCTATGAACAGATAAGGACAAAGAGACATTAACTTTCCCACACTTAACTTTATTTGTAGAGATTAAACTCCAGTTCAAGATCTGCAAGCACAATATGTAATTAAGATATCCAAACTTAATTGGCTAGTAAGAAAAGATTATAACAAAAATATTTTGCAGATGCCTGATGATTGGAAGCCATCCTGCTTTGAAAAGCTCGCTAGTAGGAAAAGAGGAGAAGTTAAATCTAAGTTCACTTCCCAAGTTCACTGCTACATTTATTTATAATTACTTTTTATATTTGACTTTCATACATTTAATTTAACCTGTTGAACGTTCATATAAAATTTTGTCAGTTTGTCGTATAGAAGTACCATTCAAAATGTGACAGTGACAACTAAGGGTTAAGAATGTATAGAGATAAGGCACAAAGTAAAAGATAGATGTAAAATAATTGCACTAATTTTTATATATATATATAATATATATTCCAAATTCTGACATATTTGTAAATATTATAACTTCCTTAATGTATCAGAAGAGGAATATTCAAGAATTCAAGATAAATTAAGGAATTCATGAGTTTAATCTTAAAAAGTATCTTGAAAGATGTTGCTATTGAATTGCATTAGGAGTCTCTCTCAGCCTATTCTGGCTTGGGAGTCTGCCTGATTTATAAAAAGAATTGTATTTCTTGTTTCTCTCATTTGATAGAATATTTTGAATTTGTCCATATGGTGTATGAAATATGTATATGAACTACCTCTTGAAAAATATTACAATTCACAAAACTGTGAAGATATTTGAAGTAATTTCCAAAAGGCCACAAAGTGTTGTCATAAGATCAACAAATTAAAAGGAATTTAAGTAGATTAGAAATATCAACAAGAAATTTAATGACCGCTACTATTGGTAGCAACTTATTATTGTATAGTGGGGGATTTAAAATTAGTGTAAGAATGTGAACCTCGATACACTTTACTAAATAATTATAGTAGCAAAAAGTATGAATATGGATTATGAAAAAGAATAGAGAAGATTATAATATACTCACCAAGCAAATTTTCACAGCAGCCAAATTCGCAGCCATGTGGGATAGGTTAGCAGAAAATTTGGTTTGGGTTCCCATGACTTTCAGAAACAAATTCATTTGAAAGTGTGAAAAATGCTATTTTTCTGCACAATTGTGTTTTGCATGTGGATTGCTGCATGGATCCCATTCACAAGTCTTTTGAACTCTAAGTGTTCTATCTCTCATAGTAGGGCCCAAGATCACTCTCATCAGCAAGTTTCCCAGAGAGAGAAAATCATGTTCCTACCAGTTTCCTGTCTTTTTTTGTCCACTGCCAGCAACAGGAATAGTTAAGAAACATTAAATTGTTTTGCATGGTAACAATTTTTTAAACAATAATAATGGTGACCAAGTGAGAGTGTAGGACTGGCTCATCAAGGGAACTTTGTTGGTCTGCTGTCTCTTGCTCAATCAAGGAGAATACCACTTTCTAGTTTAGGAGCCCGGTGATTTTAATGGGGCATGTCAGAATCCCATGGGAAATTTTCCAAAATGCAAGCCCTCAACCCACACCTTTAGAGCATCAGATTCAATTGGTTTGTGTAAGATTTGATCAATTTAAAAAAAAAAAATTAAACTTGCTAGAACATGACAATAGAGATTGCTGCTTACAAATCACTAGCCTAAAATACCTCACTGTGCGTTGTTACTTGCTTTTGTGCGCGTTTGTGTGTGTGTGTGTGTGTGTGCTAATATCTATGAATTGCTGTGTTTCCAGTACTAAATTAACAGCTGGATATTTTAGATTCTATCTGATGAAATATTTTCATATGGGTTTTTAAATGTCTTTTCATTTTCAGTAATTATCTCATAAGTTCCTAGAAGCATGGACCTCAGTAATTTTGAATCTTTGATGGCTATTCGTAGAGATCATCAAATAGCTATTCTAAAGCTTTGAAACATGTGCTTCCCAGTTCTCTAAGGGTAAACTTGACAGTTTTTCTTAGGGCAATGCTTCTCCTTTGTTCTTGTAAGGGTCACTTCAGTGAATTACCTTAGACATGCTTTGTGAGTCAATAAACTATTAATATCTATTTTCTTGTGATAACTTCAGACATAAGTGAAGTAGTTCAGAGGCACAGACTCTAGCTTGAGAGTGCTCCACTTTGAAAACATGCAAAAGATGACCCTTTTGAGGCTATTTTACAGAAACAAATTTGAGGTGGTTGTTTCTGTTGTTATAAAATGTATTTATTGCAGAGAAATTAACAGTACAGTTTATGCTCCAAGGGATAATGTTTAGGGAAGATGTGGTATGAGGGAGGTGGGCATTAAGGAAAAGAAGAAAAAATGAACACTTGGCTGGGAACAGAATTATAAGCACCTCAGTTTTAAGTGCAGACTAGTTTTGGAAGCTGATTTCCAAAACCTATGCAAATATACATGACTTGTCCATAGGTTGGTGCCATTATTCAGGTTTGTCTCAGGGATTATGATACTAATTCAAACCTTGGAATATGAGACTATAACCCCTACTATATAGTTTTGTAATTCCAGCACTTTGGGAGGCTGAGGCAGGCGGATCACCTGAGGTCAGGAGTTCGAGACCAGCCTGGCCAACATAGTGAAACCCTGTGTTTACCAAAAATACAAAAATAAATTAGCCTGGCATGGTGGCACATACCTTTAGTCACAGCTACGTGAGAGGGTGAGGCAGGAGAATCGCTGGAACCCAGGAGGCGGAGGTTGCAGTGAGCCAAGATCGCAACACTGCACTCCTGCCTGGGCAATAGAGCAAGACTCTGTCTCAAAAAACAAAAAAAAAACTATACAGCAACCACGAATGTACAGTTCTTCACTACATGACAATTACATTTATTCACTACTTAAATAGTTTTATTTGCTATGGAGGGTAAGAGAGTATTTATTTTAACTCTGTTGAAATCATGATTCATAGTCTAATCACTGATAATGTCTTGATCAGAAGCTTGCAACAAGTAAGTTATCACATCCTTTAATTGCTTTCATGTATTATTATCAAGGGTATACCTACTGCAAAGCAGTATTATAAAACTGTCCTTCACATACACCTTTCTTTTCATACTTCTAATAATTACTTCTACATTTTGCCCTTTCCTTTACATTCCTCCTAATAAGAGAGCAAAAGAATCCTCTGGCACACTCAGTTCCCTACTTAATAGTAGCAGTGAAAGGGAAAAGACCAAAACCTGGAAATAATAAAGCCCGAATTCTTTTTACTAGGTTACAAAAGAAGGCTAGTAGTACTCATACATTATATATGGAGGTGATATGCCTTGTACCAAAATGTTTTTGTCTTGCTTTAGTTCAAGTCCTCATAATCTGGAAAGTATGGTAAGTAGTGGTTTGGGTCATGGGTACTGGGGTCAGATGGACTTACATGTGAATCTTGAATTTACTAACTACTATCTACATGAGCTTGGATAAATTACCTCATCTCCCTAAACCGGAACCGTGACTGATAAGTGAAAATGATGCTTCACTTACCAAGATATTATAAAGTTTAATTGGGATAATGCATAAAGAAAGGTAGCATTAAGTTTGCATATTGCAGACAGCAAATAATAGTTACTACACCCACAACTAATAATACTAATAATAAACAATGTCATCTGAGCTGTAGTTATGATTTCCTTAACTGTTTGTGTTTTATATTTTTTGTCTTTAGGCTTTCCTGATTCTATTTCTTGTTACTGTCAAAATGATTTTTCTAAAAGTCCAAATAATTTGCTTGCTTAAATACTTTGAATATTTTCTGACCAATTCTATTTTTGATGCTCAACTTTTTTCTTCCCATAAATATATAAATATTGCTTGGAATACACACACACATGCACATATACACACATCATAAAGATAAAAATATGTTGGCAATTATAACTGGGTTGCTCAAATATAGAATGGGCCTTGTGGTTTTCCAGTTATATTATTGCCTTCGTATTCTGTAACTGTCTCTCCTTCTTCTCTTCCCTTCTGTCCTCCCTCCCAACCCCATTGCCACCATTCTATCTCTCAGATTCTTTCTGTTATCCTCATTCTCTCCCTATGATAAAGCATCCTTGTCATCAGGGTATATCAGGTTGGCTCCAATTTTAGTTATTTTCATTCCTGTGCTGATCACTGTGCCTGGAGGAATGGTTCAGCCTGATTGGCCAGGGATAGTACAAATACACATGTAGCTAGCAAGGTAGGGTACTGTGATCAGAAACTCCTAGGACGATAAGAGGTAGGAAAAGGCAGGTCTCTCAAATGAAGGCATTTCCTTCTATCAAAAAAGGCTAGAAATGGAATGGGTAGGGGGAAATCCAGCAAATTTGATTTTAGCATACAGTGAGTGATATTGTACACATGTTAGATATTTTTATTTACAATCTTCAATAGAGAAACTGAAATGTCAGCTCTTTATTGCACAAAAGGTAATTGAATATGAATGACATAAGAATGAAGATGATGAATCTTCTCTAATTTACTAAAAAGCAAAAACAAACAAAAACCATTAATTGTAGCACCACTCACATATTAGCGTGTCATGAGACTCCAATGTGTCTCATGGTTGAAAACTTCAAAGTTGGAAGATGATGTCCACATCATAGTATACACATTGCTGTAGGCGATGCTGCAGCCTTCTGTTTTAAACTGTTGTCCCATTATTTCTCATCCTGCTTGTAACCTACTCTCCTGCCAGCACTTTATGTGACATTATACTGTTGGGCCATACGTTGATTCATCATAACTCCTTGATTTGCACATGGAATTTATATTCATTGTCATTGTTTCCTCATAACCTGACATAGTGATTGACCAATAGTAAGTTCTCCATTCATATTAGTTAAATTACTTTGATGACCAGGAAATAACTTTGATTCAGTACATGGGACGTTAACAGATTGAATATTTAGCTGTCATGAATATAGGAGGCAAAAGGGATTCCTAGTAGAATGAATAAATAAGGTGAGAATCCTACAGAATGGTCAGGCTACAGATTCATTATGCTACTCTTATAATTGTGCTAACAGAATGGTGTGTGGATGGGATCTGAAATGTAAATCTGGCCTTGATCCAAATTCCCCTGAAATCTAGGGACTGCTGGCAACAACAGATATTTGTTTCCTTTTTAGGCTGAGCTATAAAGGCTTGAAAATAGAGACAAAAATCTAAATTCAGGAGTGTTTTAATACCACTCTTAGCTATATTTTGGTATGTTTCTTTCCATTGATCACATGTAAATAATCATATACAAAAGTGCAAATATCATTTTGTTAATTTTCAATATTTTTGTCTTGCAATTAACGGAGAATAAAGTAAAGCTGTTATTTTGATTTAATGCAGATTTGAAGCAATAGGTTGAAAATATCACCTCTTCTTACAGACGTATGGTGGAAGATTCAAGTATTCTTATTTCAATCTAGCAGGATAAGTTTGCCTGTCTTAAAAGTTCAGTTATTTATTTTTAAAGTATAAAGGTATGCATTCTCACTACTTTTAGCTTTTGTACTAAGTTAATTAATTACCCTGGAATGGAATGAAATTTTTATTTAAACCCAACTTAAGACTTGTATAATCTTCAAGGTTCTTAATTGAAAATTAATGGCTGTCTCTTAAAACCCATGTAGTTGAAGAAGCAGCCGTCTCAGTAGTGCCTAATACTTATGGCATAATCTTCTCAACACTTACATAGATGTTAGGATTAGAAATAGCTTTCCAGTTTTAAGGTTCTAGAAAGTCCAGGTCATGTGGTATCATTTGGAAAATGAATACTAAGTTGGGACTCCTATATTTTGATTTCAATTTCTGGTTCTGCCTTTAACAAGATTTATGAACCAAGGGGAATGACTTAGCTCATCCATAGTGTGAATTTTTCCTCGGTAACATTTAACAAATAATCCAGTAGATAGTATATGTCATATATTGTATGTTTTTATGCATCAAAGTTATATATTAGTGTTGTTAAAGTGTTCCACAAGAATATTCATGGACTGATAGATGGCCTCAGTTCCATCTTCCTAGAAACAACCATTTTCAGCTCTTTTCAGTTATTTTAGTGTTTATTGCCATTCCTCAAATTAAGTTATTCTGACAATGAATTTTCAGTTTAAAGCATTGTCTATTATCATTCCTCTAGGTAGGGTGAATATTTTGCTTTATTTCTTCTGCGACTTCTCCCACAGCACATTTACTCTTATCATCCTCTCCCATTCTCCCAATATATTCCCATCATAATTACGGTTAGCTCAAATCCTTTTCCTTTCCTGTACAACATTTTGTTTAATAATTATGTTGATTTGTTTTTGTTGTTGTTGTTTTTGGCTTTGTGTATTCATTTGCTAGGGCTGCCATAACAAAGTACCACAGACTCAGTGGCTTAAAAAACAGAATTTTATTTTCTCATATCTGGCAACTAGAAGTTCAAAATCAAGGTGTCAGAAGGCTTAGTTTCTTTTCAAGCCTCGCCTTTTGGCTCGTAGATGGCCATCTTCTCCTTATGTCTTTACATGGTTTTCCCTTTGTTCATGGCTGTGTTCAAATTTCCTCATCTTATAAGGGCACCAGTACCACTGAATTGGGTCCAACCCTAATTAGTTCATTTTAACTTAATTACCTCTTTAAAGACCCTATCACCAAACACAGTCATTCTGAGGTATTGGGCATTAGGATTTCCACATTTGATTCAGCCCATAACACTTAGTTTTTTATGTAATCCTTAGGAAATCCCAGGAGATTTGTCATGAATTATGCAAGTCTCCTTTCCAGACACCCAGGCACATCAGCTATTCTGTCCATTTCATCTTCCTCCAAAAGCCTCTCAGAGAGTACACAGCTCTATGTAATCGGTACACAGCTGCCACGCTGGAATCCCTCCTGAGACCATCCTGGAGATTACCTTCACTTCTCTCCTGGGTTCAGTGGCATATTTCCTACAGACCAGGATTTCTTTCTTGATTTGCTCCTTCAGAGGAGCATAACCTCCAATAACTTTCTTTAAAAAGGGAGTAGATGATAACTAAGAATTTTTTAGACCACACAAGTCTGAAAATATTTTATTCAACCTAGGAAGTGACTAAAAGTTTGGCTAAGTATAAAATTGTAGCTTGGAGCCATTTTTCTTCAGAATGTTGAAGGCATTGCTCCATTGCCTGCTAGCTTTCGGGTGTTATTGAAGAGTATGAAGAAAATTGAATTTTTATTTTATATATTTGACATGTTTTTAATTTTCCCTCTCTCCCTTTCTCTCTCTCAAAGTTCTTTAAAAAAAATTTTTGAGGTCGGAATTTAAAAGTTTATGAGCAAGAGCCTCACTGAGGAGCAAACCAACAATTACCTGCACTGATAATATTATATGATCATGTTAAGGTATTCTCATCAGTAAATTTGGGTTCCTCATATCAGTAGTTTCTTTAAGTCACTTGTTTTGTGCTAATCAGAATCCCCAGGCAAATCTCTAAAAATCGCCTGCTTTTCAGATGAAGGATCAGTTATTACAATTCTAGATTTACGGGGGAAAAAAGCTATGGATATTATCATTCACTATGCACATGGTCATTAATCCTGCTGTTTTCAGAAAGATTACAGCACTGTTAATTGTGGGGTTTTTTTTGTTGTTTTTTTTGGTTTCTTTTGAGACAAGGTCTTGCTCTGTCACCCAGGCTAGAGTGCAGTGGCACCATCTCGGCTCACTGCAACCTCTGCCTCTTGGGCTCTGATGATCCTCCTGCCTCAGCCTCCTGAGCTCGGATTACAGGCATGTGCCACCGTGCCCTGCAAATTTTTGTATTTTTTGTAGAGATGGGGTTTCCCATGTTGGCCAGGCTGGTCTCGAACCCCTGACCTCAAGTGATTCGCCTTATCCTCCAAAGTGCTGGGATTACAGGTGTGCGCCACTGCGCCTGGCCTATTCTTAAATTTTTAAGGCTCCTGCACAGCAAAAGAAACACACATCAAAGCAACTAGACAACCTACAGAATGAGAGAAAATACTTGCAAACTATGCATCGTGAAGTAACTCAGGAATGAAAAACAAAATACTGCATGTTCGCCTAAGCGGGAGCTAAGCTATGGGTGTTTAAAGGCATCCAGAGTGGTATAATGGACATTGGAGACTCTGAATGGGGGAGGGTGGGGAATTAGGGATGAAAAACTATCTATTGGATACAACGTACACTACTCAGGTGATGAGTACACTAAAATCCCGGATTTCACCACTATACGATTCATCCATGTAACCAAAAACCACTTATACTCCTAAAGCTCTTGAAATTTACAATTAAAAAAAATTCTTAATTTTTAAATGTCTTTATTGTGGTAAAATGTACATAACATAAAATTTACCATTTAAATATTTTTAAGTGTACAGTTCAGTGGCATTAACCACACTGTCGTACAAACATTACCACTATCCATTTCCTGAACTTTTCTTTATTTTACCAGACTGAACCTCTGTACTTATTAAACAGTAAAATCCCAATTCCCCATTCCCACCAAGTCCCTGGTGCCGCTATTCTAATCTCTGTATGATTTTGATTACTTTAGGTAAATCATATAAGTGGAATCATGTCATATTTTTCTATTTGTGACTGGCCTATTTCGATTAGCATAATGTCTTCAAGGTTCATTTATGTTTTAGCAACTGTTAGAATTTCCCATTGTGTGTACGTGTATACACACACACACACATCCACACACCACATTTTGTTTATCCATTCGTCTATTGATGGACATGTAGGTTGCTTCCATCTTTTGGCTATTGTAAATAATGTTGCTATAAATATAGATGTACAAAAATCTATTCAAGTCACTGTTTTCAGTTCTTTTGGGTATATATCCAGACATAGAATTACCGGATCACTTGGTAATTTATTTCCATTTTTATGAGGAAATACCATGCTATTTTCCATAGTGCCTATACCATTTTACCTTCTCCAACAACAATGAATAAGTTTTACAATTCCTTTACATCCTTGTCCACATAAGACTTTATGTATTTTTTTAATATTGTTAGTGTGTGTGAAGTAATATCTTATGGTAGTTTCACAATTCACATTTTGCTAATGATTAGAGATACTGAGCATCTTTTCCTGTGTTTATTGGCCATTTGTATATCTTCTTTGGAGAAGTGTCTATTCAATTCCTGTGCCCATGTTTTAATCAGTTTGTTTTGTTGTTGTTGAGTTGTAGGAGTTCTTTATATATTCTGGATAGTAACCCCTTATCAGATATATAATTTGCAAATATTTTCACATTCCATGGTTACTTTTTCACTTTCTTCATAGTTTTCTTTGTTGCACAAAAGTTTTAAAATTTGATGTATTCCAATTTATTTATTTTTCTTTTGTCACGTGTGTTTTTGGTGTCATATCCAAGAAATTGCTGCCAAGTCCAATGTCATGAAGCTTTTCTCTTTGATTCCTAAGAGTATGATAGTTTTACCTCCTACATTTAAGTCTGTGATCCATTTTGAGTTAACTTTTGTAAATGGGGTAAGGTGAGGGTCCCATTTTATTATTTTACAAGTGAATATCCACTCTTCCTAGACCTATTTGTTAAAAAGATTCACCTTTCCCCCATTGAATGGTCTTGTACCCTTGTCAAAAATTATTTGACCATATATAAAGGATTTATTTCTAAGCTCTCTAATTTATTTTATTGGTCAGCATATCTGTTCTTATGTCAATACCATACTGTTTTGCTTACTCTAGTTTTGCAGTAAGTTTTGAAATCAGGAAGTGGGAAACCTTTTTTCAAGACTGTTTTGGCTATGCAAGGTCCGTTGAGATTCTACATATATTATAAGTATCAATTCTTAATGCAAAAAAAATGTTATTAGGGTTTTAGTAGGAATTGCATTAAATCTGTAGATAGTGTTGAGTAGTATTGGCATCTTAAAAATATTGTTTTCCAATTATAAACAAAGATTTTTATTTGTTTCTTCAATATACGTCAGCAACATCTTGTAGTTTTCAGTGTATGAGTCTTTTGACCCCTTGGTTAGGTTTATTCCTAAATATTCTAATTTTTAATGCTTTTGTAAATGAAATTGTTATCTTAATTGCCTTCTTAGAGTATTCTTGTTTCCTGTTGAGAAATTCACTGTTAGTATATAGAAATGCACTGATTTTTGTTTATTAATTTTATCTTTTGTATTTTGTATGTTGAAGTTGTATTTGTGCAACTTGGCTAAATTTTTTATTAGTTCCAAAAGATGTTTTTCAAAATCTGTAGTATTTTCTACTTATAAGATTATGTTGTTTATGAACAGAGATAATTTTCCCTTTCCTTTACAATTTGGGTGTCTTGTATTTGTTTTTCTTTCTTAATTGCTCTAAGATTTCCGGTACTATGTTGAATAAAAGTGTTAAAAGTGGGAATCCTTTTGTTGTTCCAGATATTCGAGGAAACACTTTCACTCTTTTGGCAGAGTATGTTGTTCCCTGTGGACCTTGCATAGATGGCATTTATTATATTGAAGTAGTTTCCTTGTATTCCTAGCTTGTTGAATGTTTTTTATCATGAAAGGGTGTTGAATCTTGTTGAATGTTTTTCTGCAACATTGGAGATGATTATATGGATTTTTTCCCTTCATTCTGTTAATCTGGTGTAGTACATTTGTTGATTTTTGTATGGTGATTCATTCTTATATTCCAGGAATAAATCTAATTTGGTCATAACGTATAATCCTTTTAATATGCAGTTAAACTTGGTTGACTAGTGTTTACCTGAGGATGTTCACCTCACTATCATTAGTAATATTGTTTTGGAGGGTTTTTGTTTCTGATAACTAGTTTGTCTGGACTCGATATGATGGTAATGCTGGCCTCACTATCTAAGTTGGGAAATGTTCCCTTCTCTTTAGTTTTTTAGAAGAATTTGAGAAGAATTGTTGTTAATTCTTCTTTACATTGTAGAATTCACCAGTGAATCTATCTGGTCCTGAGCTTTTCTTTGTCAGGAAGCATTTTATTACTGATTCAATGTCTATACCAGTTTTCAGTCTATTCGTATTTTTTATAGCTTCGTGATTCAGTCTTTATAAGTTGTATTTCTAGGAAATTGTCCATTCTATTTAGGTTATCCAATTTGTTGGCATGCAATTTTTCAAAGTATTTAAAATCTTTTTTATAATTTCCATAGAATTAGTAGTAATGCCCCCCCCCCCTTTCATTTCTGATTTTATTTTTTTCTTTTTTCTTAGTTCATGTAGCTTAGGTCTTGTCAATTTTGTTGCTCTTTCAAAGAACCAACACTTGATTTTGCTAATTTTCTTCACTGATATTCTATTTTATTTATCTCTGCTGTCATCTTTATTATTTCCTTTCTTCTGCTAGCTTTGGGTTTAATTTGCTTTGCTTTTTCTAGTTCTTTAAGACATAAAGGTAGGTTGTTAATTTGAAATATTTTATTTTATTTATTTATTTATTTATTTTTTGAGCAGCAGCAAGATTTATTGCAAAGAGTGAAAGAACAAAGCTTCCACAGTGTGGAAGGGGACCCGAGCGGATTGACCTGAAGTATTTATTTTAATTTAAGTATTTACAACTATAAATTGTCCCTCTCAGCACTGCTTTTTCTATTTCCATAAGTTTTTTATGCCATGTGTTCATTTTTATTGTCTCAAGGCTTTTTCTAATTTCTTTTCTGATTTCTTCTTTGGCCCATTGGTTGTTTAAGTCTGTTTAATTTCCACCTACTTGTGGACTTTCTAGCTATACTTCTGTTGTCAATTTCTAGTTCTATTGTATTGTGATTGTAAAAGATACTTAGTATAATTTCAGTCTTTTCACATGTATTAAGACTGGTTGTGTAGCTTAGCATATGGTCTACCCCAGAGGACATGCCACGTGCACTTAAGAAAAATATACACAGACATACCTCATTTTCATATATTTCACTTTGTTGGGCTTTGCAAATACAGTGTTTTTTGCAAATGGAAAGTTTATGGCAATCCTATGTGGAGCAAAACTGTTGGTGCCATTTTTCCAACAGCATGTGCTTGCTTCATGTCTCTATGTCAAATTTTGGTAATTCTCACAGTATTTCATACTTTTTCATTATCATGATATGTGTTATGCTGATCTGTGATAGTGATCTTTATTGTCACTATTGTAATTGTTTTGGGGTGCCACAAAGCATGCCCATATAAGATGGCAAACTTAAATGTTATGTGTATTCTGACTGCTCTGTTGACTAGCTGTCCTCATGTCTCTCTCCCTCTCCTTCAACCTCTCTATTCCCTGAGATACAATAATATTAAGACAATTAATAACGTTATGACAGTCTCTAAGCATTCAAGTAAGGAAAGAGTCATGGGACTGTCACTTTAAATAAAAAGCTAGAAATAATTGAGCTTAGTGAGGAAGGCATGCTGAAAGCTGAGATAGGCTAAAAGCTAGGCCTCTTGTCCCAAACAGCCAAATTGTGAATGTAAAGAAAAAGTTCTTGAAGAAAATTATAAGTGCTGCTCTAGTGAGTGCACAAATGATAAGAAAGCAAAACAGCCTTATTGCTGACATGGAGAGTTTTAGTGATCTGGATAGAAGATCAAACCAGCCACAACATTCCCTTAAACCAAAGCCTAATCCAGAGAAAGGCCCTAACTCTCTTTAATTCTGTAAAGACTGATGGAGGGGAGGAAGTGGCAGAAAAAAAATTAAAGCTAGCAGACGTTGGTTCATGAGGTTTAAGAAAAGAAATTGTTACCATAACATAAAAGTGCAAGGTGAAGCAGCACATGCTGATGTAGAAGCTGCAGCAAGTAATCCAGAAGATCTAGTTAAGATCATTGATGAAGATGGCTTCACTGAATAACAGATTTTCAGTGAAGATGAAAACAGCCTTCTATTGGAAGAAGATACCATATAGGACTTTAATAGCTAGAGAGAGAAAGTCAATACCTGGGTTCAAAGCTTCCAAAAACAAGATGACTCTTTTATTAGGGGCTAATGCAGCCAGCGACTTTAAAGCTGAAGCCAAGTCTCATTTTGCATTCTGAAAATCCTAGGGCCCTTAAGAATCATGCTAAATGTATTCTGCCTGTGCTCTGTGAATGAAACAACAAAGCCTGGGTGACAGTACATCTATTTACAGCATGGTTTACTGAATATTTTAAGTCCACTGCTGAAACCTGCTCAGAAAAAGAAAAAAAAAAGTTTCTTTCAAAATATTACTGCTCATTGACAATACACTTAGTCACCCAAGAGCTCTGATAAAGATGAATAAGGAGAGCCGGGCATAGTGGCTCATGCCTATAATCCCAGCACTTTGGGAGGCTGAGTCGGGCAGATCACGAGGTCAGGAGTTCGAGAACAGCCTGGCCAATATGGTGAAACCCCGTCTCTACTAAAAAAATTAAAAAACTAGCCAGGTGTGGTGGTGCATGCCTGTGCATGCTACTTGGGAGGCTGAGGCAGGAGAATCGCTTGAACCAGGAGAATCGGAGGTTGCAGTGAGCCAAGATTGCGCCACTGCACTCCAGCCTGGGCAACAGAGTGAGACTTCATCTCAAAAAAAAAAAAAAAAAAAAAAAAAAAAAAAAAAAAAAAAGATGAACAAAGAGATCAATATTGTTTTTATGCCTGCTAACACAGTATCTATTTTGTAGCCCATGGATCAAGGAGTAATTTTGAGTTTCAAGTTTTATCATTTAAGAACTGTAATGTGTAAGGCTATAGTTGCCATAGATAGTGATTCCTCTGATGGATATGAGCAAAGTAAATTGAAAACCTTCTGGAACGAGTTCACTATTGTAGATGCCATTAAGAACATTTGTGATTCATGGGAGAAGGTCAAAATATCAACATTAATGGGAGTTTGAAATAAATTGATTCCAATCCTCATGGATGACTTTAAGGGGTTCAAGATTTCAGTGGAGGAAGTAACTGCAGAAGTCAGGTAGAAATTGCAAGAGAACTGGCATTAGAAGTGGCGCCTGAAAATGTGACTGAATTGCTACAATCTTAAAACTTGAACAAATGAGGAGTTGCTTCTCATGGATGATCAAAGAAAATTGGATTTTTGGATGGAATCTACTCCTGGTGAAGATATTGTGAACATTGGCAACAAAGTATTTGAATATTACATAAACTTAGTTGATAAAGCAGTGGCAGAGTTTGAGAGGATTCACTCTAATTTTGAAAGAAGTTCTACTGTGGGTAAAATGCTATCAAATAGCATGGCACGCTACAGATAAATATTTTGTGAAAGAAAGTCCATCAATGGGGAAAGCCCTTATTTTCAGAAATTGCCACAGACATATCAACCTTCAGCAACCAACACCCTGATCAGTCAGCAGCCATCAACAACAAGGCAAGACCCTCCACCAGGAAAAAGATTATGACTCACTGAAGGCACTTATGATCATTAATATTTTTTAGCAATACAGCATTTTTAATTAAGTATTTACATTTTTAGACAAAATGCTGTTGCATACTTAATAAACAATGGTATAGCATAAACAACATTTATTTGCACTGAAAAACAAGAAAAAATTGTGTGACTCACTTTATTGGGGAGGTCTGGAGCCAAACCCAGTATCTCTCAGGTATTCCTATATTCTTCTATTGTTAGACTGTTCTGTATATGTGTTTTGGTCCAATTAACCTATAGTGTTTCATCTTATTCCCTCATTAATCTTCTAGCTGACTATACTCTCTATTATTGAAAGAGGGATATTGAAACCCTCTATTATTGTAGAACTTTCTCTTCTTCCCTCAATTCTGTCAATGTTTGATTCATATATTTAGGAGGTTACATGTTGAGTGTATATATTTTATAATTCTTATATCCTCTTGGCAAGTTGACCCTTATGTAATATCCTTTGTATCTTTAAGAATTTTGACTTAAGGCTATTTTTGCCTGATATTAATATAGCTACCCCTGCTCTCATTTGGTTACTATTTTCATGGAATATCATTTTCCATCCTTTCACTTTCAATCTATGCATGTCTTTGCAATTAAAGTGAATCTCTTGTAGAGAGCATGTAGTTAGATACTACCTATCAATTCATTCTATCTTTAACTTTGATTGGGAAGTACAATGGAATAAATTGTGCCCCCCTCCCAAAAAATGTATATGTTGAAACCTCAACCCTGTTTGTGGAGTTATTTGGAGATGGGCCCTTTGGAGTTAATTTGGTCATGAAAGTAAATCCCTCATAAAAGGATTATTATCTTTATAAGAAGAGACACGAGATCTCTCTCTCTCTCTCTCTCCCCGCCCCCCCCACTTTGGTCTACATGCACACTGAGGAAGGGTCATGAGATGCCACAGAGAGAGAAGTTGGCACCTGCAACCTGAGGAGAGAGACTTCAATAGGAACCAAATTGGCTTGCTCCCTTGGTCTTGGACTTCCCAGCCTCCAGAACTGTGAGAAAGTTAATTTCTGTTTAAAACTCCTAGTCCATGGTATTTTCTGTTATGGTAGCCTGAACAGACTAAGACAGAGATTGATACCATGGAGTCATGTACTAAAGGATCAAATACTTTAAAATGTGGAAACAGCTTTAAAACTTTGTAATGAGGAGAGGCTGGAAGTGTTTCAAGGAGCATGCTAGAAAATGCTGATATTGTCATGAAGGAATTTTTTTTTAACTCTTAGTTTCAGGATACATGTGCAGGTTGGTTCTATAGATAAATTGTGTGTCACAGGAGTTTGGTGTACATATTATTTCATCACCCGGGTAATAAGCATAATACTGATTAGGTAGTTCTTGGATCCTCACTCTCCTCCCACCCCCTATCCTCAAGAAGGCCCCGATACATATTGTTCCCTTCTTTGTGTCCATATGTGTTCAGTGTTTAACTCCTGCTATAAGTGAGAACATGGTGGTGTTCAATTTTCTGTTCCTGCATTAGTTCGCTTAGGATAATGGCCTCCAGTCCAACTATGTTGCTGCAAAGGATGTGATCTTGTTCTTTTTATGGCTACATAATATTCCATGGTGTCTGTGTACAACATTTTGTTTATCCAGTCTACTGCTGATGGGAATTTAGGGTGATTCCATGTGTTTGCTATTCTGAATAATGCTGCGATGAACATATGCATGCATGTCTCTTTATAGCAGAATCATGTATATTCCTTTGGGTAGATACCCAATAACAGGATTCTGGGTCAAATGATAGTTCTGTTTTAAGTTCTTTGAGAAATCACCAAACTACTTTCCACAGTGGCTGAACTAATTTACATTCCCACCAGCAGTGTATAAGAATTCTCTTTTCTCTGCAACTTCTCCAGCATCTGTTATTTTTTGACTTTTTATTAGTAGTCACCATAAAGGGATTTTAAAAAGTGATTCTGGGAGAGCTCAGAAAAAAAAGTAGAGAGCTAGAGAAAAAGCCTCTATCTTCTTAGAGAATACGTAAATAATCATGAGAAGAATGTTGATAGATACATGGATGGTAAAGGTCATTCTGATAAGTTTTCAGATGAAAATTAGGGACATATTATGGGAAATTGGAGAAAAGGCCATCCTTGTTATAAAGTGGCAAAGAACCTGGCTGAATTGTGTAAGTGTTGAAAGCACAAGAAAGAGGGATAAATGAAAAGAATAAGGCAAGAAACTTGGATTTTAAGCACTAATTATCTAAGTCCCATTTTTTTTTTAGGATGGAAGGCTTTGATCAGGAGCCTATATTAAAAGTGGGAATTGACCAACTATAATTGAAATTGGAAAAATAATCATTGCAAGGAAATACATCAGTCACCAACTCCCTTACACAAATAGAGATGACAACTTACTCAATGGAGATTTTTTTAATGCCTTTTCAAATGTAAAACCTTGATTTTTAAGTTAAATTTCAATTTCTGATAAAAATCAGCCTTACACAAACTATATTAGAGATAGAGGATATGATGTTTACATTAAGGCATCTTTTAAAATGAGACATAGGCTACATTCTCTAATGTCATGGTGGTTTGTAACTGGAGTACCTTCGAAGTCATCTATTAAAACAAGCTACGGTATGTTTCTTGGGTAATAACTATTTTATTTATTGGTATAATAATTATTATTCAGCTACGTTAAATTCTGTTCAATATATTGCATATTATAAAATTCTGAAAGTAATAGTAATTAGTATTCAGAGGATGTTAAAGCAAGTTAACCCACATTGGTATTACAGTAAGTAACTTGATTAGATGGCACGCTACCTATTACCTTAATTATACTGCTATTGATGTACTGCCAAAATTTCCCCTCTTTTATCAATTGAAGTACCTATACCACAATTACTCTATACAATACCTAAAACCGGTATCTTTCCTCAGTGGTACAATGCCTCTTGACAGTGTGATAACATGCCTCTGTGAGTTCTGGCAATCTGCCATAAAGCACTGCCATTTGCAAAAGGAAAAATCTTGTCTCTCGGTGTGTCTATGTATATCTTTATGCTCAAAAGCAGATAATCATTTACATATGCTTATGCCAACCTGAAATACTCACAGGCTGTTTTGAGGTTTCAGCCCGTATTTAAAAAAAAGAAAAGCTGATCAACGTGGAGGGGAAAAATACTTCAAAACACCATGTTTCTTGAAGTATTTCCTAAAATGAACCTGGTTTCTCTTGAAAATTATACCCCTTCCAGGCTTGACAGAAAATGTTATTTGACACACGACCAGTTAATGCCTATCCCATCACATAAACTTGTATTTTCCCAAATTGATTTGTGCATATGAATTACAACATACAGAGTGGTAGTAATAATAAGTTTCCAAATGTGTGCTGGAAAGAGATGGGGAGGTCGGAAGAGCGAGATGGCAATTTAAAATAAGTCATAGAAATAGAACTGGAAAACTTCGCTTTGAAACCTAGATTCCACTGTTGCTAATGCTCTACAGGGAACCTATTCTGGCAAAGTGTACAAAAATTAATTTCTCAATTTTTACTTTTATTTTTTCATTATGAAAATGTTCAAACATGAATAAAATTAGAGAGACTACGTAATCAACTCCATAACATATCATCTGAATGTAACTGCTGTGGAAATTTTTCCATATTTACTTCAACACTTTTTGTTCTAACATAATCTCAAGTAAATCCCATGTTATAATGAAACATCACCCCTAAACACTCCAATATATGTCTTTAAATGTCAGAAAATGTTTGTATATATCAGTGAGTTTTGATTTTCGTACTCCAAACTTACTTTTGGTTCTTTTTTTTAAAAAACCTCTTCAGTGCATTTGACTGCAACTATTTTTTCCTTAAAGCTCTCTTGCCTGTCTCTATTTTCTAATTATTTTCCCTCCTTCCTCCTGGCCACTCTTTTTTGGTCTCATTCGTATGTTCTTCTCCCCTGATCCCTGCTCCTGGACACACATTTTAATTATGTGATAAACCTGAGTTTCCTCCTTCAACATCCATCTTACAGCAGGGCTTAGTATAAGAACTATTTGCAGAGCAATAAGAACTTAAAAATTGACAAAAAAAAAAAAAAAAAAAAAAAAAAAAGTAGAGTCATCTCCTTCCCTCAATGTAGAACCAAGCAAGTACAAAAATCCTTCCACAAAAATCCTTGTGCTATACATTCTCCCTATTTGTGTATATTGTTTCATCTATATTCTAGTATCTCCATAATGCTAACCTCCAGATCATAACGTTCCTCTGGGCTTTGGGTCCAAAAAATTCAACTACCTTTTAGGCACTTAAAACATGGACTTAAATATGACCTATGAATGTCCAATTCAATTAAGCATTCCACATCTGTTGTTTTTCATCCTGTTCACCAAAACTGCTCAACTCTGTTCCCCATCTCAGGGAAAGGCACCATCATGAGAAGTATTGCCCAAGCCAGAGATGAGGATTCATATGCTACTCTTTCATATTCCACATACTTTTTAACCAGTACAGAACCAATGCCTCCTTCTAAATGCACCTCCAGTCCACGTACTACTTCAGATAACACTGCAGCTACCTCTTTCCAGAACTGCATCTCTTACCTACCTCTAAGTTGATGTTCCTGCTGCCAGCATGCCCATCAATACACCTTCTTCTTGCCAGAGTGATCCTGTTAAAAAATTCAATATGTCCACATGCCTCCCATTTTCAAGCCTTCTTTGGTTCTCCAGAAACTTCCAAGCAAAGTTTATGCACATGTTGTATCCTCTTCCTTATCTCTCACTACTCCCCAAACCTCCTTGACTACCTTCAAAACTTCAGGGCTTTCAGGCCCCTCAACTTATTGCTCCCACTGTTTGGAATGTCCCTTTCATTCCCTCCTTGTGCTTTACTTCAGCATTCAATTCTGCTGACACCCCCTTTTGGAAACACCCAGGTTCCCCCGGGTCTGTATTTTGTGTCCGCCTTCTGTGTTCCCTTGGGACTTTGCACAGACCTCTGCCTGACCTCCTATCACACTGCACTTCAGTTTTTGCTTTACCTTGACTATCTTCTATAATCTAGAGCAGTTTCCTTGAGGGTAAGAACCATGACTTATTCATATCTCTTTCCCTATATGGAGTAGAGGGCAGGAACATTGTAAGCATTCAGTGAGTGAATAAGTAAGTGAATGATCAGGATCACAGGAAATGCTACACAAATTCACGCTACCTGTTACTTTATCTCATTTTTAATTTAGTGTAAACAGACAATAGTAAAAAGGGAAAAATCATTCCCAGCCTAAAAAGTAAGAGTTTTGGAAATGATTGTCTATATATGTAAGGTTTTAAAAAATCACTTTTTTTCAATTATTAATCTAAACCTGAAAAATCTGAAAACAAAAAAAGACTACAAATTACAAAGTACCATCAACCAGAGGTAATAACTGCTGAAATATATAGACAAATATAATATGTGGATTAATTTATTTCTCCAAAGTTTTTCACACTTTCCTGTATCATTAAATATTCTTCAAAAATGTGATATTTAATAGTGGTACAGCAATCAATTAAACATACAACTGTACATATAATAATATGTAAAACATATACTGTATAAAACAACATGATTGAATAATATATAATTTAATAGTGTATTATGTTTGATATTGTGTAATTAATATACAGGGCACAATAAAATTTAAAAATTATATATTCCTGTCATTTTTCTCTCAATATAAAACTACTTTTCTTCCACTAAATGCAACTAGAAGTTGTTCAGAAAATCATTGTCATCTTTACTTTCTGAAGCTTATTTATAAATCCTATAAAACAAAAAAAAATTTTAATAGGAGGAAGAAAAAATTATTCAAGAAAAACAGATGATAGCTCTGTTACTCTGAAAAAATTAACCTAAATCAACCTGCAGTGGTTTGCTTGTGGCTCCCAAAAGATATGACCACTTGGAATCTGAGAATGTGCCCTTATTTAGATTAGGGCTTTGTAGATGTAATTAAATCTCAATAGAAGCCCGTCCTGGAATTAAGGTGGACACTAAATCCAGGGGCTGGTATCCTTATAAGAGAAAGGCAGAGAGAGCTTTGAACCGGAGACACAGAGGGGAGAAGGCTGTGTGAAGACAGAGACGGAGGCTGCACTTAATGCTGCCACAAGCCAAGAAATGACAGGAATCAACAGAAGCTGGATGAGACAAGGAATAATTTTCCTCTAGAGACTTCAGCAAGACAGCGGTCCTGCCAACACCTTGAATTCTGATTTCTAGCCTACAGACACATGAGAGAATAGATTTCTGTTGTTTTAAGCCACCCAGTTTGTGATAATTTGTTACAGCAGCCTTAGGAAACTAAAGATAGCTGAAAGTACTAAAAAAATGCTGCACCTCAAATATTCTCAATGTGTACATTACACCTGACTTCTAAAATCATGACAGCATCCGAAACAAGAAAAGAATAGAAATTGCATACACTGCCTAAAAAAATGTATTTAAAGCATCTGGCTAGAAATTCAGAATAATTTAGTAAAGTTGATGTGCATTTAACAATGAAATTATTTATTTTGACATTGTATTGTGACTTTTTTTTCCTTGACAAAAAATGTAGTAGAACGTCTTGATGGGGTTGGGGGGAAGGAGGAGAAATATTATTTCCCTATGTGCAATCGTTGTTGTTGTTGTTTTTTCCCCAGATAAAATAATCGCAAACCAAACTCACATGTGATTATTCAAATGGTAAACACCGGTGAGAAAGAGGTGCCAGGCTGAGGAAAAAGCTATTGAGGTAAATTGCTTGTGCTACTGAAGACAGTGAAAGCTCCTCAGAATACTTCGTGTGCCAGAGATGAGACTTAAAAATGAAATACACCTTTAAGCATAACTTAAAATAAATAGTTTGTGTTCTTGCTGAAGGACTCTGGAGGAATATTACTGTAACAAATTGCTATATTTAATTCTTGGACAGCAGCCAGGTATAGGTCAGACATGAAATTTTTCTATTAAAATAACCACTAGCAAGGGAAAAACAGACCCTCATGCCTAGAGACACACATACACACATCTCATACTGTATGTAACCCAATGGTCATAACTTCACGGTGACCAGACGGGAAATGTGTGACAAAAAGCATCCAGGGTCTCTTGACTAGTGAGTGATAATAACAGGGTACCTAAGATTACTGACACTCCCGTAACAGATATTTCCCCATGAACTGCTGACGGCTGTCTTGTGCTGTAATATTTCCGAGCATTCAACTTCCGAGAGTTCAGCTGCCCCATGTAGCTCGTGGAATTCAGCCAGAACTAGCGTGCTGCCACCCAGGGAATCCGGAGAAACCCAGTCCCCGGTAGGCGACCCTGCCTCCTAGCAACCCTCCTCCCATTACGTGTGGCCAGTCTCACTCTGGAGGGCTAATGTAGCAGACACCAGGGGCTAGTTAGTGATTGAAAATGGAAATCAGAGTGATTCAATTGCCATCTTTCTTTTCGTCTCTCTTTTTTTTTCTGTTTAAACTGAGATGATTTTGTTGAATTAAATAGCATAGGAAGCAATCTGCTGCTGTCACTAGCAGTGTTTTTGTTAGATGAATGACTATCAACAGGTAGTAGACGGTTATTCATTCAAGTAATAATAGATATTACAAATAAGAGTATTAAGCATTAAAATATATCCTTGTGGCATCAATCTCTTTGTCTTAGAACTAAGTCTCATTTAGCTGACTAACTTGCTGGATTTGATATATATTTACTAACATGTTAAAAAGAACTTGAAATTCCCAGAGCTTTGATAAATGCGGTGACGGAACCCATTGCTGGATGTGTAACTTTTGTAAAATATTAGGACCAAGCGTAAACTGTCATAATGCAAAAAAAGACTAACACAGCCTCCCTAGACATTCATAAAAGTTAACATAGAGTAAGATGGTCATGGCTATTTATGTCTTACATAAGCTGAAATTAAATCAATGTTTGAAAACCAGCAGTCAATGAGCTAATGAAAGCCTGAAGTTGTTTTGTTTGTATTGTGTTTTTTTTGTCACTTGCGAACCTTTTTTTTTTTTTTTTTTTTTTTTTTTTTTTTTTTGAGATGGAGTCTCGCTCTGTCGCCCAGCCTGGAGTGCAGTGGTGCAATCTCAGCTCACTGCAAGCTCTGCCTCCCGGGTTTACGCTGTTCTCCTGCCTCAGCCTCCCGAGTAGCTGGGACTACAGGCATCCGCCACCAGGCCTGGCTAATTTTTTGTATTTTTAGTAGAGACGGGGTTTCACCGTGTTAGCCAGGATGGTCTCGATCTCCTGACCTCGTGATCCGCCTGCCTCGGCCTCCCAAAGTGCTGGGATTACAGACGTGAGCCACCATGCCCAACCGCCAGCTTCTAAAATGATCATGTGTGTTCATCTCCAAATCCCAGAGTCTAGCTTTTCATGACCAAATCAGAAGGTCTGACCACACTAGGCCCACATGCACACATGAATATTATTGGCTGGAACACCGTGGTGGCTGACACTTATAGAAAGGGCACATTTTTTTCCACTTCACCACAATCCCCTCACTCCTATCATTTCACATGTGTTGGTGGCTATTTGTCATCAGACCTGCCCTGTCACTCTGACCATTTGACCTATTTATGCTGTTTCTGGCCTCTAAAACAGTGAAGTTTGCAGGCCCTGGTCTAACTGCTCATTCGTATGTCATTTCCACAAGGTGGTGATTTTTTAGGCCCCAGAGGTGTGTTCACTTACTTAGGATTTCTGAGTCCTAAGGAATTATTTTAAAGTAACTTATGCTCTCAGACAAGTCAGAAGCATTGAATTATTAACTACCAGTATTCTTATTCTAGACATGATACTAGCTTCTTGATCTCAATAATTCTGTCAGTTAATGTTGGAAGGGTTAAACAATTTAGAAGGAAACACACATGCTTCAGTGATGATGCCAGTTTGATGATTTGATGACTAGTGGGTACAAGAAGGAGGTGTGATTGGTGGTTTTCTCTAGTACAGGCCTAGACCATCCCCTCCTTGCTCACTATAATCCAGTCCTGCCAAGCCCTTTCTTATTCTTCTTATATGCTGAGCTCATCTCACCTTAGCACCTTTGTACTAGTTGTTTTTTTTCTGCCCCAAACAGAAATTGTGTATCTCTGCTGGATGATTCCTCCTCATCATCCAGCTTCCAGTTCAAATAATCATTCTAAAGCAGTACAGATACGCCACGCCATGCCCCGAAGTTTTGTTTTTCTCATGGCATTTAGAGTTTCTGAGAATACTTTATGTATTTGACTTGGTTATCTGGTGTTGTCTTTCAGTAGAATGTATACTCTATGAGAACAATTATTTTGTGTGTGGTAACACTCTTTAAACATAGGACGAATGTCTGAAAAAGGGGATGAATGAATGACATGGTACATATGGCATTGAAATGGCTCAGTGGTGGAAAAGGAAGAGGAGGACTGAGAAGACAGAGAATGGCCTATGTTCCAATTTCCTAGAGTGATAGATGTATTAAATCCCCAGATTTTAGAATCAGATTAGGCATAAAGCCAGTTAGTCCTAAATAGCTTTTGTCATTCAAAGTGGTTGCCCTTAACTGCTTATTAATGGCAGATGACAAGACATGGACTGTGCACCAAAAGGTAAATCCATATGGTACTTCATTGAGAGTCATGCTATGGTGAAAATGTAGTTGAACACAGGTGTGCCTAGTAATGTAACTGATTTACATCCTGGCACAATCTCATTACATTGTAGATCAGTAACAATTTGAAGACTGACATCTGCCCAAAGATAACTCTTTAGGTAGTACTGGCTTGAATATATATTAAAAAATAATCCAGTTTTAAAAGAATAATTGAATCATGAGGTGGATTTCCTGAAGGAAAATATTTCCGCAATGCGAGCGAGTGCATGATAGTAATTTACTTTGTGAAACAGTTATACTTCCTATGGAAACAAATTCTTAATTGAAAGAGATGGTAAATTAGAGAGGTTGGGACAGAGAAAAAAGGTGTGGGGAAGAGGGCAGGGAAGATAATATACTTATAAAATGCCCACGAGTATATTCACTTAAATAATGGAGAAATTGACTTAACGTATAATAGTTTTTGGAAGTCATACCATTAGTAATCTTGTGGTTTAAAAGATGTCTCTAAAGAATGGCTAAGGGAACTCGATCTGAAATATATTTTCTTTTTTTAAAGAAAGTAATTTCGACATTTATTTTAGGTTCAGGGATACATATCCAAGTTTTTTACCTGGGTATATTGTGTGATGCTGAGGTTTAGGGTAGGACTGATCCCACCACCCAGGTAGTGAGCATAGTACCCAATAGTTTCTCAAGCCTTCCCCACCCCTTTGTCCTCCCTCTAGTAGTCTCCAGTGTCTATTGTTGCCTTCTTTATGTTCATGAATATCCAATGCTTAGCTCCGACTTGTAAGTGAAAACATGCAGCATTTAGTGTTCTGTTCCTGCGTTAATTCACTTAGCATAATGGCCTCCAGCTGCATCCATGCTGCAGCAAAGGCCATGATGAAATATATTTTCCAGGTATGCTCCTAATACATGTATTTCCACGTGGGCTCCAATAAATTATTTTATGTGCTTTAAAAGTGTCAGACGAGACAATTTCAACTTCAATAGAAAACCAAAATGTATTAGTAGAATTATAACAAGGCTGAACAGGTTATTCTTTGGCCAGCTCTGACCTCTTTAAGTCACTTGACTATAGATATGGCAGAATAAGCCTGTCAGGTCAGTCTGGATTGCATGATTCAACCATATCAATCATATTCTGTTTCTTAGCCATAAGTTACCTTTTCATTTGAAAATTCTTCAGGGTGGCCTACTGTAGGGGAAGCAGCCTAAAAGTGAGGTTTTCTCTCCTACCCATTTTATATTTATCTGGCTTTCTGAATAGCCGTGAGAATGCTTCCAATAAGTAAATGTTCTCAGAGGTCAGAGAGCCAGTAGAGAGGAATTAGGGGCTTGGAAAACCAGCTAGATAGGGCATTTCCAAATACAAATAATAAATGGATCTGGATACAATCAAATAGACTTTTTAAAGTCAATTTCTTTTGAGAAATAGATTATCTGTCTAGGTGAATTCCCCTTTTAACATTAAAAGCCAGCTTCTAGATAGGTCTGATCCATTCATTCACTGACCACTAAATGGCATTGACGAATTACACTTTCTAATCGCCAGCATTGGCAATGATAAATCTCTTGACTCCTGGCTTTGCAAAGAGATTGGATTTGGTGAAGTTGTTGCCATTCCAACCATATTCTTAGAGATGTAAGCAATCTAATTCATTGAAATGATCGTTTCCCTTGATTTAGAGTGCTGACGAAACCAAACTCACCATTATGATTGCAAAGAGTAGATTAAGTTATGGCCCCTGAGTGTACCAGACCCCAGTTAGCAGGACAGATCTCATCTATTTGTTGGAAAAAGAAATAAATGAATGCCTCTTCTATTAATTCCTTGTTAATATTAGAGAAATATTTTTAACTCTTTCAATGAAGCTAATAATGTAAGGCCAAATTCACTTGGCCTTCCTTTGCCATTCTTGAAGTACCTTTATTGAAGGTTTTTTGCTTTATTCTATGTCCTAGCACATGAAAAAGGAAAAAAAAATCCTTGGGGGCATATATGAGGCAGATGAATTACACCTTGATTTACATGGTGAGATGGACTCTCTCAGACAAAACAATTAAAGGAATAACATGTTCTTGCCGTGCTCAACAGTAACTGATGCAAGATATTTGATTGGTTTTCAAGTTCAGCTGGCTTTCTTTGACTTCTTTGTGGAATGGTTTCATATGTGGTGGCTGAATATGGAATTCAGACCTAGCGGTAGTATGATAAATTGCTATGCCAGGGAGTCATTGTCTTTCTCCACTGGACTAATGGGCAATAGCCACAGGGACTCAAAAAAGCACGCAACCAACCATTGTCATAGTCAAAGTATACATAGGAAATGCGAATTGCTTTCCCTTTATAAAATTAAGACACTATAGAACACTTCCGACATAAGCAGTAATTCCAGCATGATTTTAGGATTATGACAAAGCTCAGCTTTAGAAATTTGTATTCCAGGTGGGTAGAATTAAAATAGAAGTTTCTTAACAATATACAGGCCTATTAACATATTTTCTGTTTAGCACGTTCATTGTTTTTAAAAATTACATATATGTGAATTTTACCATTTATGGAATCTTCATATTTAACAGATTGAGATTGTAAAAGCAAAAATAGGCTGGGCACGGTGGCTCATGCCTGTAATCCCAGCACTTTGGGGGGGCCAAGGTGGGCAGATCACCTGAGATCAGGAGTTCAAGACCAGCCCGGTCAACGTGGTGAAACCCTGTCTCTACTAAAAATACAAAAATTAGCTGGGGGTGGTGGCACACGCCTGTAATACCAGCTACTCAGGAGGCTCAGGCAGGAGAATCTCTTGAACCCAGGAGGTGGAGGTTGCAGGGAGACCGGATTGTGCCATTACACTGCAGCCTGGGCAACAAGAGAGAAACTTTGTCTCAATAAACAAACAAATAAATAAAGCAAAAATAACTTTTGCAGTCCTTTCCTATTCTTGCACAAATATAACATCTTTTTTTTTTTTAACAGAAAAAGAACTCTATGTTGTGCTTTAGACAATGATTCATGTTTATGTGTTTTGAGTACTCTTAAGCAAAGGTTGGCAACTAACTAAATGGTAAATGAAACAGTCTCCAGACTTGGATGACACCATCAGAAGTCTGGACTGCTTCTCCATTATACTTTAAGAAAGACAATACAGGTAAATGTGGGAGAGAACACCGTGCTTTGGCTGAATGAGGGACTGCCTCTGTTTCTGGGAATACATTTATTATGTTTGCCTTTTCTTTCTCAGAGTGTGGATGTGCAAGGGAGAGTGTGTTAGATATGTAGTTTTGATTTAAAGCACAGTGGATAAGAGCAGGCTTAGTTTTATATACGAGTGGCCTCAGCAGGTGATAAATTGTTTTTGACTTTCATCAGTTGCCAACAAATAAGAAAAGTGAGAGATTTATCATGTATGTAAAAACTGTAGCAACATTCTCTATCATGTAAAATAAAATTTAATAAAATAGCATTTTTTAAAAATGCATGCTATCGCTTATTTCACTTTTATAGGCCGTAAATTCTAAGACTCTGTAGTCTTTCTAAGATGGGGAGTGGAGATTGGGGAGGTGGTCCTTCTTGTCCAGAGTCAGGGTAGTGACCATTTTCCACAGCTGGCTAAGGGCTCCTTCTGTTTACAGAACTGAGTGGCTGGTGTGTGTGTGTGTGTGTGTGTGTGTGTGTGTGTGTGTGTGTGTCTTTACCTGTGACCCTTTTATTAAGCACCTAGCTGTGCTCAATAGCAAAATGGATTCTAATTGCTTCACAGCAGGGTAAGTGATTTAACCTGAAACAATGCAATAGTTTTTATTTGCAGTTGCTAACACTTCTACATGGACTCCCCTCCACCTCAAAGAAAACAAAACAAAAACAAAAACAAAAACAAAAACAAAAAAACCACCCTGAAAATAGAAAAACATGACCAAAACTATTATAGTGCATTTTTTTCTCTCTAATCACAAAAAAAGGAATACGGGCAGATGCCTCCAAAGACAAGAAAATGTTATTACTAGAAATGGCCTTAGCAACTACCCTGTTTAGTCCTTAATCTTGTTAATAAAATAATGATTCGTATTTGTTTATATTTATTCATTGACAATCTAGAGACTTCCAGAGCTGTGGCAAGTGACTAATTTTGAGTAGAAGCAAAGCCACGTTTGAGACAAATATGGGGCTAATTATTTATGATTTCTCTCTTCAAATATATATTGAGTACCTTCTAAATAGTAGTCACTGGGACAGTTCCCATGGGGTATGAAGAAATAAAGCAGACATGGTGTCTCTCTCAAGGAACTCTCAGGCTCATTAATGTCATGCTAGGGACCAAATGTCTGACTGGCTCAGGGACAGGAGAAAATCATATTAAATATTAATGCTTATTTTATTTTGAATCAATTTGATATTCTCCTAACCTTGAACTTCCAAAGGAATTATCGTGCTTTAGAAATTGTGTTATTTGGATCTCTGCTTTGAGTCACTTAGTTTTTCTATTTTTCTTTCTCTTTTCCCAGTGTTTGTTTGAATGAAGCAAGAGAAATTGGAAAAAACCCAATTGTAAGAAACGGGATTCTCTACTCAGATTCAGGATAATGTGATGAGCTGGGATTATTTTCTCTCCACTGTGTGTGTCTGTAGAAAATCCTGTGCTTTGTTCAGGTGACGAGAACCTGTCCTCATTTCTCATTCTTTCCCATCTGCCACCCAGTGAAGATTTTGAATATTTTGAGTGCAGTTTGGGAAAAATCAGATTAGCAAACCCAAAGATTCCATTTTTGTTGGGATGAACGCTAACCTGTAGCCTTCATAATAGGAACAATTACCACAATTCAAATTAGGAGTACTTTTTTATTTTAAAATTTTAGATATGTGAATTAACCTCTCCCACATGCACACAGACACGGTCCCACTTCCACACTCTGGCTAGAATCCTTCAGAAACCCATACCACAGTACAGCCCACACATGAATTAATCTCTGTAATACAATTGTAATGTTTCTGTCTCTCTCCCAGGCCCTTTTTTACTTTTGGCTGATAAAAATCTCTAATGTGCTGCTGTAAATGCTCTACTTCTATCCTTAGTCTTAAAAAGAAATAGCATTTATATTTATTAGCATCCACAGAAACATTTGTCAACAACAACTTGAAGAATGACATAACTTTTTAAAGTGCACCCATCTGGGAGATTTTCCAAGTTGGGAGATACCCAAATTGGCAAAGACTCTAAGAAACCCATTCGTATGCACTAAACATGACACAGTTTCTGGACTTCTTTTATATTTCCAGCTATTAGATTTGGAAGTGCAAGAGATAAGACCAAAAAAATGCAAACAAAAATAGAACAAACAAAAAATGACCACGTAGAGACCCACACCTTTAAAATGAAATAAAAGCAGATCTATAAAAGTTCTAATAGGAGAGCTGGATCGCTACAGTAAAATGCAGAGCAAGGGAGAAATCAGGACTTCCTTTTTTTCTTAGTGAACTCATCTCTGAGTCTGGCCCATTTGACACAAAGACAAAAAGAAACTGTCTAGGAAAAAAACCTTTTCTTCCATCCTTCTATGTTCTGATATTGGGGGCCTTGTCGATTAAACTCACATTCACAGATGAGTAAGAGAAAAAAAAAAACAGATTTTAATCATATGCATACATATGGGAACTTCACAGAAACATGTGACTTAAAGTGGTAGTTAGAATTTGAGGCTTAGATACCATCTTAATGGGTGAAAAGGATGAGAAGTGAGGATGAGGGAAAGGGGCACTTATCAGAAAACTAGTGACTTTGGGGAAAGATAAATGCGCCCTCAGGAGAATAAATGGGAGATACAATACCTTTGTCACAATGTCTGGGTATGGTGCTGACTTCTCTGAGATGATTAGAGTTACTCCTAGGAAGAGGATTTGTGGCAATTGAGTTTTTTTGTTCTTCTGGGAGACTGCTTTTCAGCAGAGAAGGTATTTCAGGGACTCAAATGCCTTCAGCTTAAAATAATTTTTATGCCATTTTGGCATATTCTAGACCCCTTCGAACTGTTACAAAACCATTTGGGGGTCAACCTGAGGAATGAACCCTTTTCAAGCAAGGACTCTCCAGAAAAGCCAACGTGTTTTCTTTACTTTCACAATATCAGAGAGCATAGGTAAAATTTGTCCTTTTCTTCTCAAAATTTGAAATCCGTCCAAGTGTTAATTTTTGCTCTCTGTTAACATCTATTACTATTTCAAGGTCAACTTGTTAGCAATGAACTGTTTGGTGACTTTTTCTCCTAGTTTACATAATTAATGTTATATTTGTATATGGAAGAAAGCCACATACGTTTTCTACACTTTTAATTTTGCTTTTAGTAAATGTATACTGGAAAGCAGAAATGCTTAGCTTACTTTGTAAATATTGACTTCTTTTATCTCATTGGTTCTAAGTCTTTGACTTAGACCTGCATTTATTTAACACATTTGATAAGTCCTTTAGATGATGACGATGTTGAAAATGTTCTATAGGAGTAGAATTTCATTTTAAAATAGAATTAAATTGTACAAAATTCAGTCAGTAAAATTGTTAATAATTATCAAGTGAACTGAAATTGGCACTCTGTCAACCGATCATTCAAAATGAATATGTGCAAAGAGAAATATTTATCCTTAATTCTCATTGCTTCAAAATTAAGTTGGCAGGGTCATTTTATCGAAAATTAACTATTCTCGTCTTAGAATTTTTAAGGAATTACATTATTTTATGTCTAGACACCAGGAAATGATTTGATCTCATGCTACCCCCAAAACCCTTATTGAATTCCAAGTACCTATTCTATAATAACTGAATTGGAAGGTAATCTTTAAGATGAAGTCAACTGTTTTTTGTTTTGTTTTGTACCGGTCACTGGTTAATATATTTTAGTATTTTTCATGGAATACATATATACATACATACATATATATATATATATATATATATATATATATATATATACACACACACACACACATATATATATACACATATATATACACACATATATATACACATATATATATACACACATATATATATACACATACACATGTCTTATTAACACTGACATCATTAATATAATAGTTAAAAACGTGGAGTTGAATGCATCAGATCAAATTCCAGCTCTGCTACTTACAAGCTATTTGATCAAGGCAAGTTTCTTAAATTTAGTATACTCATCTGTAAAATGGGGATACCAATAGCCTCATAGGATTGCTATTAGAATTAAATGAATTAAGATGTGTAAAGCATTTCGAATAGGGTCAGGTCAGGCTAGATGAGCATTTGCTATCAACATCATTATCATCATCATTTCAGTGGAGACATCTAGCAAGCAACTTTTATGAAGTTTGAAATAAACCCAAGATAATGCTTTCCTCAACCTGAAATACAATAGATATATATTTCCAACACTACATAAAATATATACAAAATAATTTATAGCCTAAGCTTCCACCAGGTTTTCAGTTTATAAAATATAGCAGTCGCTTCTCTCATAATTTGAAAATAAATTTTTGATGCCTTGGAAAATGAAGAAATGAAAGACAACCCTTCATTCTGGAGTTTTTCTATATCAGTCCAAAACTGTTCATAAATGTAAGGGTTGAAATATAAGTAATCATTTAGAATGTAGTGAGTATGGTATATATATGTAAGTACATGTATGTGGTTTTCAAAATTTGAATTACCTAAAATAAGGAAGATATATTTACTGTTTAAGATTTTTTAATAATTAGTATGTTCTTCCTGCCAAATAACTAGACCAATATAATTTTTGAGTTGAACACTATGATAGAGGTCATCGATGCAAATAGCCAGTTTGATTATAGAAATTGTAGTAAAACCAGGATGGCCTAATTTACAAAGTCCATTTGATTAATTTCAATGTGATAAATATTAGCAGATATTACACCATGTGCCAGCGTTGTGCTGTGTGATGGGGCATCAAAGATGAATAAAATACACCTGCCCATGACGGGAGAAGATACACGTAGTCTAGGGGTCCTGAGGTTATTCAATACCACATCATGACTATCTATTTCTTTTTGAAAATCACTTTTGCTTTCCTAATTTCTCTCTCTTATTTGGAGAATTGGCTTGGAGTGAGAATTTTTTTTTTTTTTTTTTCTTAGATGGAGTCTTGCTCTGTCTCCAGTCTGGAGTACAGTGGCACGATCTTGGCTCAATACAACCTCTGCCTCCCGGGTTCAAATGATTCTCTTACCTCAGCCTCCCAAATAGCTGGGAATACAGGCACGCACCACCACACTCAGCTAATTTTTGTATTTTTAGTAGAGATAGGGTTTCACCATGTTGGCCAGGATGGTCTTGATCTCTTGACCTTGTGATCCACCCACCTCAGGCTCCCAAAGTGCTGGGATTACAGGCTTGAGCCACTGCCCTCGGCCTGGAGTTAGAATTCTATCTCAAAATTAGATTCAAAGTTCTTTAATATTTAATGTTGCCTTGTGGAAAACACACACACACACATAATAGACTCCTGGCTACTGTGTAGAAGTCCAACAAAATGAGTATAGAATTTCTCTGATGATTTTTGGCTTTGCTTTTTCACATTATTCTATCATATATCGCTGACTCATTTTACTGTTTCTCATATTGAAAGACAGGATACACCTTTATCTTCAAAGGAGAGTTACCAAACCAAATCTATTAGTAAACACTAGGGAAAATGTAAATAAAAACAAAAATAGTCAAAAAGTTTCCAATATATTATCTCTGCTTAAAGGATTTTATATTTCTTCCTACAGTTTTACTTAGGAATATATTTTACATGCTAATTGTTTCACTTTTATTTTAGGTTTGGGGATACATGTGCAGGTTTATTACACGAGCATACTTGGTGATGCTAAGGTTTGGGCCACTATTGATCGTGTCACCCAAATACTGAGCATAAAACACAATAGTTAGCTTTTCAGCCCTTGCTCCCTCTGCCCTCTTCCCTCTGCCCTCCAGCAGTCCCTAGTATCTACCATTGCCATCTTTATGTCCATGAGTACCAATGTATAGCTCCCACTTATAAGTGAGAATATTCAGTATTTGGTTTTCTGTTCCTGCATTAATTCGCTTAGGATAATAACCTCCAGCTGCGTCCATGTTGCTGCAAATGACAGAATGTTGTTCTTTTTTTATGACTGTGCAGTATTCCATGGTGTTTATGTATCATTTTTTCTTTAATCCACCATTAATGGCCACCTAGGTTGATTCTGTCTTTGCTATTGTGAATAGTGCTGTGATGAACATTCAAGCACATGTTCCTTTCTGGTAGAACAAATTATTTTCTTTGGGATATATACCTAGTAATGGGATTACTGGGTCAAATGGAAGTTCTGTTTTACATTCTTTGAGAAATCTCCAAACTGCTTTCCACAGTGGCTGAACTAGTTTACATTCCCACCAACGGTGAATAAACATTCCCTTGTCTCTGAATCCTCACCAGCATCTGTTGTTTCTTGGCTTTTTAGTAATAGCCATTCTGACTGGTTTGAGATGCTATCTCATTGTAGTTTGATTTGCATTTATCTGATGATTAGTGACATTGAGCTTTTTTTCATATGTTTATTCATTGCTTGAAAGCCTTTTGAGAAATATCTGTTCATGTGTTTCATTAAAAATGGGGATATTTGTTGTTTGCTTTTTCTGTTGTTTAAGTTCCTTACAGATTCTGGATATTAGACCTTTGTCAGATGCATAGTTACTGAATATTTTCTTCCATTCTGTCAGTGGTCTGTTTACTCTGTTGATAGTTTCTTTAGTTGTGCAGAAGCTCTTTAGTTTGATTAGGTCCCACTTGTCAATTGTTATTTTTGTTGCAATTGCTTTCAAGGACTTAGTCAAATTCTTTCCCAAGGCCAATGTCCAGCTGTAAGAATCTTATAAGAAAACTTAGAAATCCAAGTGTTTAATCCATCTTGAGTTAATATTTGTATATGGTTAAAGGTAGGGGTCCAGTTTAATGCTTCTGCATATGGCTAGACATGAGCATGGAACTTTTCAGTATCAAGTATTACAATTCAGATTTTGGACATGAATTATATAATGTATTCTACATTTAAAAATTTTTTAGCAACGGGCTTATAATAGACAAATTCATTAATTTTTTAATATTTATTTTAAGTTCAGGGATGCATGTGCAGGTTTGTTACATAGATAAACTTGAATCATGGAGGTTCGTTGTACAGATTATTTGATAACCCAAGTTTTAAGCCTAGTACCCATTAATTATTTTTCCTGATCCTCTCCCTCTCCCTCCTCCCACCCTCCACCCTCCACTCTCTGATAGGCCCCAGTCTGTGTTATTCCCCTCTGTGTGTCCATGTGTTCTCACTATTTAGCTCCCACTTATAAGTGAGAACATGCAATATTTTGTTTTCTGTGCCTGCATTAGTTTGCTAAGGATAACGGCTTAGAGCTTCATCCATGTCCTTGCAAAGGATATAATCACATTCCTTTTTATGGCTGCATAGTATTAATAGAAATTTTTGCCTTCTATTAAAAATTAAATATTGCTAATATTCCATGTACAAAGTATTTCTCCTAATCCAGTTCTTTATACAGACTCATATTCTCATGATAATCAATAATTTATAAAATTATATATCACTTATCTAAGGGGACCAAAATTAATATTCATGGCATTGTATAACTTTTTTCTTTTAAGATCATATTTTCATATTTTGATAAGATTCACCTGGAAAAATTAAATCCCAGAGGACAAAGAAACATAGCTAGATTAATGACAGATGTTTGTAGGAGAAGCAAATGGTACTTCTATTCTTTACTATAGTTTAAATGTGTCCCTAAAATTTAGGTGTTGCTAATGTGATGGTGTTAAGATATGGGGCCTGTAAGAGGTGATTTGGTCATGAGAGTTTCACACTTATGAATAGGATTAGGTGCCCTTATAAAGGCGATTGATGGGGGAAGCCCATTCCCTTTTTACCTCTCTGCCTTATATCATGTGAGGACATAGCAAGAAGGCCCCAACCAGACACCAAATGCCAGCACCTTGATCTTGAACTTACAACTTCCAGAAATGTGAGAAATAAATTTCTATTCTTTACACATTATCCAGTCTGTTGTA
The DNA here is from genome assembly GCF_000001405.40 of Homo sapiens. Classification (NCBI taxonomy): domain Eukaryota; kingdom Metazoa; phylum Chordata; class Mammalia; order Primates; family Hominidae; genus Homo; species Homo sapiens. Next base: position 166,010,143 of record NC_000005.10, read on the forward strand.
TTTACTGAGACATCCTCATAGGAGTTTTCATCTGGGCCTGAGAGATAAACTGACAAGGCAGATCAGCAGGAGAATATCATACAAATTTACCTAAGTTTTACATAGCAAACAGGGGCTTTCATAAGGAAATGAAGGCCCAAAGATGCAGTTAATATTACACGCGTATATACTGAAGTGAACAAAGAGTAGTATGTTGTGCTAAAGTAACAAAAATATATGGGGAGGCTAGAAGATAAGAATTATTTTCATAAGGCCTGTACAAAATTCTCTCAGCCTCAACTTCTCATCCTTGATAATAATGTCATTTTTTCTTCCAGTATAGAGAGGGTATCTTTAACATGGAAATTTTATCTCCTGCTTTTAAGAAACAGCACAGGCCGGGCGCGGTGGCTTATGCCTGTAATCCCAAAACTTTGGGAGGCCAAGGCGGGTGGATCACCTAAGGTCAGGAGTTCAAGACCAGCCTGACCAACGTGGTGAAATCCCATCTCTACTAAAAATACAAAAATTAGCCGGGCGTAGTGGTGGGCGTCTGTAATCCCAGCTACTCGGGAGGCTGAGGCAGGAGAATCTCTTGAACCCGTGAGGGAAAGCTTGCAGTGAGCTGAGATCGTGCCACTGCACTCCAGTCTGGGCGACAGAGCAAGACTCAGTCTTGGAAGAAAAAATAAATAAAAGAAACAAACTGCATAAAGGTCAGAGTGATCTTCCTGCACCTGCTGTTTTTCAAGTGCCTTTAAATCAAAATAGTCAATATGCCGAAGCAGCATATTTTGGGCTGATGTACACTTAATTCCTTCATCTACATCACATAGTGATGTAGGACACTAAAAATTCTGTGAATGTTTAAATTAACAATTTTAGTTAACAATTTAACAAATGATTATTTAGCATCCCTCCAACGTTTTACATTGTTAAACATCTGATTATTTTGAATAATTTTATCAATTGTGTTTTTTCTATTATATGTTCCCATTATGTTATACAAATTTAATTATCTGGAAAATATAATAATATTGATGAAAAGGTGATGATGACACTGATTTAAGTAAAATGTACAGATTTCAGTGGGAAAAAAGGTCAGCATCTATTTTCAGTGTTGTGTAAAAGTATTTTTAGTAAGCCATGTTGTCTTTCTGTGAGAAATATGAATGTGGCTAATAGGAAGAGACCTTAGAAACTATCAAATGAAAGCATTAGAAAAATTTTTAGAGCCACATGAAAATTAAAGATTGCGATATCAGCCTATCTCATTCATTTTATAGAGTATGGAGACTTGCTCCAGATAAAGGGAATGACATGGCCAGAGGCAAGGAGTGAATAAAATATAGAGTCAGAAATAAAGCTGAACTACCTTGATATCCTAGTCAAGAGTTATCTTTTCATCTGCTTGCTTTCATCTGTTCTTACTAGTAGACTCTCATTTCCAAGGACAGCCAAGATTGGGTCTTACTTTTCAGTACTGTATCCCTGGAGCTTACCATACTTTTAGGCACACTGTGTGTACTTAATAAAAGTGTTTTGAATAAATATAGGAATGAAAATTTTAAAAAAACTACATAACTTGGAAGAAAATTTAATTTGTTAAGCAATCACTATTGTTTCACCATATTTGGATGCAAACATTAATTTGAATTCCTGATTCATACATACAGGGCTTATTCGTAGCCAAAAGATTAAAATTTATTTAGAGTTGCAATGTTTAATATACATTCTCAAGCTTCATCAAACCCAAATATTAATTTGTTCTTTTTCTGCTTCCAATTCTATTCTGTCCATTTAAAAGAATCCCCTGTATCTAAGCATAGCTACCCCTGCTCTATTTTGGTTTCTAGTTGCATGGAATACCTTCATTTTCAGTCTATGTGTGTTCTTAAAGATGAAATGAGTCTCTTCTAGGCAGCCTATAGTTGGGTCCTTTTTTTTTTTTTTTTTAAATCCTTTCATCTACTCTATGTCTTTTGATTGGAGAATTGAATCCACTTAACTTCAAAGAATTATGGATAGCTGAGGAATTACTACTGCCATTTTATTATTTGTTTTCTCCTTGTTTTGTAGATTCTCTGTTTTTTCTCTCTCTCTTTTTATTTTCTCCATGCCACCCATCAATATAAAAAATTCTGTACATATTTTACTTATTTATGCTTTTCTCTTCCAGCTGTGCTCCAAGAGGATAGAGATTTCTGTCCCACCCCATTTTTTTACTGCTATATGTAGGGAGCAGAACAAAGCCTAGAACATAGTAGATAAACAATAAGCGTTCTTTGAGTAAATGAATGAAATATATATATAGATATTAGCATGTAAAGAAAAATTCTAGAGTGATATATACCTAAATATTAACATTTAGGTTAATGATAGCTGGTAATGGCTGTTGATAAGCTATTTAAAAATAAAATAACTTGGACTGGGCGTGGTGGCTCACGCCTGTAATCCCAGCACATTGGGAGGCCAAGGTGGGTGAATCACGAGGTCAAGAGATCAAGACCATCCTGGCTAACATGGTGAAACCCCATTTCTACTAAAAATGCAAAAATTAGCCGGGAGTGGTGGTGGGCGCCTGTAGTCCCAGCTACTTGGGAGGCTGAGGCAGGAGAAACACTTGAACCCAGGAGGCGGAGGTTGCAGTGAGCTAAGATTGCACCACTGCACTCCAGCTTGGTGACAGAGTGAGACTCCGTCTCAAAAAATAAATAAATAAAATAACTTATTTTCCTGTTTATAAAATGATATATATTTATTATAGATATTAGTAAAAAAATTTTAAAAAGAGAAAGTATACCCATAACTCCAACATATGGCAATTATTTTAATTGACATGCTCATATATATATTTGCTTTCTATTCACGTATATTTTCACCCAACAAAATTGGGATAATTCTGTGTATTATTGTAATTTTTAAAGAGATTTCAATATCACCTAAACAATGAGAATATGTTTGCTTTAATGGCCCTATAAAACCAATCCCTGAAATATTAAAATAGTATATTTGAAAAAAATATATCCCCCGTGTGACAACCTTTTTTGGTGAGGCTGCTACTGCTTGGCTGTCATAAATTGAGTCAAATTTGTCTGAATTTTAATTGCTCCTGAATATATTATTGTCCTAGAAATAAGGTAGAACCATTAATACAAAAGAATGTATGTTCTATGGAAAACTATTTACTTTATTGCTATTTCCAAAAATAATCAGAAATGCATATAAAACTTCAAATTAGAAAATTGCGAAGGCTGCCTTATGGTTGATGTGGCAGAATTTGGGGAGGGGAAGAAAAGCAGGAGGAAGACACTTTAGTTTTCAGAGGCACTGGTTACATTTTTCACTGGCTCTGTTTTATCTGCATAACTTGGGTCTTCTGATTCTCTTTCTTTTTTGTGCGGATAATTGCTTTGTTGTTAGCGCTTTGACACTGAGTGACAGTGCTTTTGGGTGGTTGACAGCCAAATCTATTGGCAGACGATAGTCATACATGGAGATTTGCTTTCTTTCTGCCTAGTGACAGTAAGAGCGTCTGAGTTGACAGAGGAGGTCTCATACCTCTCAGGAGAGAGACAAAAGCAAAAGTGGGGGAGTGAGATTTCTGCCAGAATGAAAACATCTATTTAATTCTGCTATGGAGAGAAATACAACTGGCAGTGCCTGTAATGACTACAAGTTAAAACAAATCATTTTATTTATGTGTGTTGCCTACAGAAAATTTTATCACTTCGTAAGCTATCAAGGTCTCCATATCATGCCTTTGGAAACACTGTAAACCAAAAACAAATTCATCTTCTTGCAGTGGAGTTTATTAAAAGAAGACAATTAAGAAGAGAAGAGCACAGAGAGGACATAAATATAATTCTGATATAATTCATATCACTGAATTAAACTTGTGTGAATAAAAATATTCCTAACAATGGTTAGCAGAATTATGTTTCCTAATTGTGAAAAAGAAATTCTGCAAGGTTATTTAGAGGTGTAAGCCAGGGGATTTGATTCGTCATTGATAATTCACATTTGAAAGTTGTACAATTTAAGATAAAAGGTATCATTTTAGCTTCATTGAGAAAGGTGTTCCCCATTTAAATGCTAAATTGCCATATGGGCAACATAACTCATTGTGAAGCCAAGAGAAAAGAAGACATGGGGAAAACCATTATCCATCTGTAGAGATGGGGCTCCTTGAGGAGAGTGGTTGAATCTTGTTCATCTTGCAGTCTTAGTGCCTAGCAGAGGGAGTGGCAAAGGATTAAAACTCAGTAACTTGTTTATTGACTCGAGGCTGAGTCTTCAACTATCAGATGAATCAAGTTTAAGATATTAGATGACTCAAGTTTAAGATAGAGCATCTATGTTTTAGAAGCCTGAACTGGATCTAACTAGACAAGTTATAGCATGACAGATTCCAGCTCCAAAACTAGAAGACCTCTAGGAATAGAGGCTTCAGGCTGCCTCACAAGATAACGACTGGGGATTTCAAATATATCTTAGTTTTATTCAACAACATGCAGCACATATTAATTGGATTTTTGCCATGTGCCTGGAAGTGTTCTTTATAATTCGGACATATTGCTGAGGAATCTAAACAAGGTCCTTGCTCTTGTAGACCTTACATTCTGTTGGACCAAGCTCAATAATAAACCAAAAAACTAATAAATAAACCTAACTACGTTGTATAGTAATAAGCACTTGAGGCTGGGTATGGTGGCTTATGCCTGTAATCCCAGAACTTTGGGAGGCCAAGGTGGGTGGATCACCTGAGGTCAGGAGTTCGAGACCAGCCTGGCCAACATAGTGAAACCCCATCTCTACTAAAAATACAAAAATTAGCCAGGTGTGGTGGGGCACACGCCTGTAGTCCCAGCTACTCGGGAGGCTGAGGCAGCAGAATCGCTTGAACCCAGGAGGTGGAGCCTGCACTCCAGCCTGGGCAACAGAGTGAGACTCCGTCTCAAAAAACAAAACAAAACAAAAAAAAGTAATAAGTGCTTGAAGAAAATAAAAGAGCACAATATTATATTAAATTGATTCAAGAATAGCTGTGATTTAGATGGCCTGATCAGGGAAGTCCTTAGGTGATGTGTGAGAAGAAATCTGAATGACAAAATGAACCATTCATTTGACTATTTAGAGGTTAGCAATGGCTTGCCAAGGTTTTTGCAGAAGAGACTTTCTGTGGGAAGCAAACTGAGAAAAACAAAAAAAGAAAAAAGTCTTTCTAAAGTCTCTTCCAACTCAATAGGACAAGATTGAGTACGATCTCAACTTTTAGATTTCATCTTTCCTTGGCCCTCATGTCTCCTTAGTGAGACAAAATTCATGAATAATTGAGATGAAATGAATAGATAAATTGGTTTCTTCAGCTGAATGGTATCACCTACTGAGAAAACTCAACTGAGAAGGATGAATGATAATATTGGCTATTTTAGTGGTCAATATGTGATCCATATTCAGTTCTTCAGTTCCTTTTAAATTGCTTTCTACTTATTGTTACTCCAACTAGCTATATCACAGCTACTTATCAATTTTTCATTGACATTTGTCTCATCAGTGGATTGCTGGAGGTTTTTAAGCCTTCCTATTGAAATGTTGCCAGAAAACAGAATGTAGATCATACTAATGTATTTTTAAAATTCAATTAGTGTTGAGTCCATAGTTAGGGTCCTTCCATCTGCTGGTGACCCCAAGTGCTTCCCAGATGGCCCCATGCCCACCAGAACACTGAAAAGAACAGGACAAGAAAAGACACTAAAATATTTTCCAAAAGCAGGACTTCCAGAAGAAACAGCACATGTTCATTTTTTTATTTCCTTCTAAGGTTTTCCTGGTAATACATTTTCAGCATTCTAAGTTTTTCCTAGAAGGGGTCCTGTAGTATAGTGTTGTTCTCATTCTTTATTTTTTTATCTATTTATTTCTTTTACAAACATCTATCCTTATCGTGACTAAGGCACCATCCTGCATGTGTAGGTCTTAGAAATGAGTAAGAAATATGTATCTGGTGCCTGAGGTTGAGGGATGGAAAATGAGTAAAGAATGACCGAAGTATAGTAACATATAGCAAAGGATAAAACTAGCATATAGCAAAGTAAATGTAATAAATACAGGAAAGGAATTATTACAAGAGATGTTAGACAAAGGAGGGTAATGTAAAATCTCACAGCTGGTGACTAGAATGAAACAAGATTTTTTAAAGCAATAGCATTTAGACTGAACTTTTTAGGAAGAACTGAACTTTCAACAGGTAAGAATAAAAAGGTTAATACACAAGCAAAGACATAGAGTTTTAGGGGGTCAAAGCAAATAATATAGTTTCCATATAAGATAGATCGTATGTGAAGGTGTGAAGCCAGAAAGTATTCTAGTTATGGCTATTTTGGTTGTAAGGATCAGCAACACCTTGAAACTGGTTGGAGTAATCCTTTTTCTATATAACGATAGAATTAGCAATCTCATGGACATCAAAAACAGGAAATGAAATACAGCTGAGCTCATGGGTCCAGAACGGCAAAGTCAGGTGCAATGGAGGCTGCCCATGCTGTTTCATAACAGATAGGCATGGAACACAAAGGAGAGCTAGGACTCAAAGATAACACAAAGCTTTTGAGATGGGTGAAGGAATTCAATATCCTGGCAGAGAGAGCACTCAATAAAATTACCTACTCTTAAATGACTGGCTGACAGACTGAAAGATTTCTTTCAAAAGGAAGGACATCATGCAGCCTTTGACATCAGATTTTGATATTCTGATCCCAAGTTTTAGGAGACAACTTTCTAGCCACTTGGTAAAGATTTTAATAGGAAAGGCTGAGCTACATGTCTTGATGAATGTAAGTTTTGGTATTATAACAGGTAATGTTTGCATGTGAGTTTACTAATAACTTTAATGTACTTTGGCATATGCAATGTATTCGATTTTCATGACACTGAGAATGAGCAGTAGTTTTGCAGATGAGGAAACTGATGCACTATTACTTATTCAAACTTTAAAAATTTGCTTCTAGCAGGGAGAAGATATAGCCTAAAGAACTTGTACTACAGGGCCGGGCCCGGTGGCTCACACCTGTAATCCTAACACTTTGGGAGGCCGAGGTGGGTGGATCATGAGGTCAGGAGTTTGAGACTAGCCTGGCCAGCATGATGAGACCCCAACTCTACTAAAAATACAAAAATTAGCTGGGCGTGGTGACGGGCGCCTGTAATCCCACCTATTCGGGCGGCTGAGGCAGGAGAATCGTTTGAACCCCGGAGGTGGAGGTAGCAGTGAGCCAAGAACGCACCACTGCACTCCAGCCTGGGTGACAGGGTGAGACTCCATCTCAAAAAAAAAAAAAAAAAAAAAAAACAACTTGGACTGTAAATCCCATGATATTTTTGGTCTATTAAATAACAATGGTATAATCCACAAATGTCTTCAAATGCCATGTTGCCTTTTCATAATGCTCGTTTACTTCAATCCCCTCCTACTTAGTAACTCACAGTTCAGCTAATTTTGTTTGAATTATAAAACACATAATCAAATTGCCCCATAGGCTATAATTATATGATTATTATATTATTATATATATATTAGTATATTTTACTATTATTATTTCACTAAAGCAATTGATTTATTAAACCAATTAATTAGGGGTGAACTTAGAATACGGAAAGCACCTATTTAATGAATATTTGCTGAATTGATTTTTATGACAGCAACTTACTTAAAACTCTGTTTTAATTCTCCAGTGCTGGATCTGATTTTATATTTTCTATTCTCTCCCAAAAATGTAAGGCATTGTTACTACCTCCACTTCCAGTTTTCCTCTCACCTCATTTTTATTATTCTTCAAGTCTTATAACCTATGTAGTTACTGTCTAAATATAAGTGAGCAAACTTAATCTTTGCATGTTTAGAAAGCAGCCTCAATAAAGATTTTTCTCAGTGCCTGAAAATACAGTAGCCAGAGGTTGAAAAATATTATCTTTAGGTGGATAAATGTGAAAGTTACAACTTTGCTCTAATTTCCTCAATTTTGCAGTACCTAGTGCATTGTTGGGTTTATATAAATATTAAATTCTAATCATATTGACAATTCTTACCTAAAAGAATCCTTTCCAGATAGGTTATGTAAAGAGTGATTCATTTGGGCAAATGAAATAAATTTAGATGTAAATATTACAGACTCGTCAAACTGCTTGCTAGATATTCATGTTCTGCTGAATGAGTCCTCCGAATCATGTATGTGTGTGTGTGTAGAATATATATACCCTTCCACATGTGTGTGCCTGAGCACACAGGCGAATGAAAATATATCTGTTGACAGGAATACACTATATATGGAACATATATATTGATAGATTTCAAAACCGTGATTTTGATTAACAAACACATTTCACACATATTGATATATTTCAGAACCATACAAAAGTGCATGTCTACATATACATGCATATGTATGTATATATACCTGCACGCATGTATGTTTGGAATGTTTCACCATCCACTTACTTATTTTACTTCTCATCTGCTGCATTTTACTGTTTTATATATATGACTTCACAATTTCAAGTTCTTTCTTTCATCGGGCCTCCTCTGGAAATTCCCCTTGCATGCCTTCTGACTTCCCTTTTAATTGCTTCTCTGCAACAATCATGAGAAGAACCTGTGGAGATTTTTGAGCGATTTATTGGTAAGAATCAGATTGCAGGAAACTCTTGTATAATGTTCAGTCCTTACAAAGCAATGATGTTATTTAAGAGCACTGAATCTCTTCATACCCATCACTTTGACATATGCCAGATTTCACTTGGTTGCAGCCTCCTAAAAAGGACTGCTAGAAGCAATGTCAGTGCTGGTATGGGCATATTTGTAAGTGACAGGACAATTCCTGTGCAAAGTCTCTAGGTTCTAAATGAAATTATTTTGAAGACTTTAGCAAATACCAGACTACCTGCAGCATGAAGCCCTGTTTTTATAAAACTTTTATAATTCCCAAGCACTTTTAAATAGGATCTGGGCAGAATGGGAGGCAAATGAGGTTAAGTGGAAGGCCGTACCTTTACTGCCTATACTTTGTATCGATTCTGATTTTACAAAGGTATTTTTCTTTTTAAGATGTTTTAGAGAGGCAAATAATTCTATAAGATGCATTTTTAAAAAAAGAAACATCAACAAAGGATTATGACCAGAAAATCCACTAAAGAGAAAGACAAACAGCATATTAATTTAGGGAGCAATTCTGAGCTTTACTAATAACCAGGGACATGCAAAACATCCACAAAATGAATAAAATAAATGAGAGGTAAAATAGATAGGCAGACATTTTAAAGTTTAACAATATCAAGGATTGGCGATGACTACTAACTCTCCAATTCTGCTTGTGAGAAGGTGAATTGAAATAATAGTTTTGGAGAGGAATTTTGCATTATCAGTAAAATTGAAAATGTACACAACCAGCAATTCCACCTTTATGTTTATACTGTAAAGTAACATTTATACAAGCTCACAAGGGGAAGATGTACAGGGATATTTATGGCAACATGGTTTGAAAGAACAAAAAAAGAAAAATAACTCAATGTCTATCATTTACCTAATGGATAAGCTAAAAACCGTATGTTCGTGTGTATGTAAATGGGAACATATGGCAGTTAATAGAAATAGAATATACAAGAAAAAACACACGTTGATAGATTTAAAAACCATGATATTGAGTTACAAAGCAAACCATAGAATAATGTATACACTAGAATGCTATTTATGTAAAATTTTAGAAAATATCCTCATAAAATATATCAATTATGTATAAAAAAGTAGGTTATAAAAATGAATTCAGCATAATTTATGATGATTGCCTCTGTGAGGAGGACAAGGATGACTTTGTCTCAATAATACTCTCAATAATACTTTATTAGTAACAAAGGTGAAGCAAATATAAAAGATGTTAGCAATAGTTCTGGTTAAGTACAAGTATTTTTATTACATTATTTTTTCCATCCCTTATTAGTTGTAAAATTTTCTCAATACAAAAAAACTCAATAAATATTCTTACTAGTTTCAATTGTCGACCAAAAGAGTCAAACTCTGTAAAATATTTGAAGAGATTTATTCTGGGCCAAATATGTGTAACCACAGCCTGTGACACAGCCCTCAGGACTTCCTAAGAACATGTACCCAAGATGTTCAGGGTGCAGCTTGGTTTTATACATTTAAGGGAAACATGAGTCTTCAATCAAACACATTTAAGAAATACACTGGTTTGGTCCAGAAAGGTGGGACAACTTGAAGTGGGGCTTCCAGCTTATAGGTGCATTTAAAATTTTTCAGGTTGGCAATTGCTTGGGTTTACCTGAAGACCTGGGATTAACAGAAAGAAATGCCTGGGTTAAGATAGTTATGGAGACCCAAGTTATTATTTGCAGAGGAAGCTTTTAGGTACTAGGCTTTAGAGAGAATAGGTTGTAAAATGTCTCTGATCAGACTTAAAATCTGTGTTGATGTTAATGCCACAGAGGTATAATGAGACATGTCTGACTCCACTTCCTGGTATGGCCTGAAACAGTCTCTCAGGTTAAATGATAAAAGAGCCCTGGCTGAGGAGGAAGTCCATTCAGATGGCTGGGGGAGGCCTTCCAAATTGTTTTTGGTTTATACATTGTACTCTACTAACTGATAACTTGGGAGAATATTTTCTCTCTAGCAATGACTTGTTATGACTATATATTTTAATGCCGTTTCAGGAAACAAAGAAGTGTGTTTTCTATGAGGTTATGTTTATTCAGTATGATTTTAAATAAGACATTTAATTCTTCTGTTATTATGAGACTCTGAAGATTCTTTGATTTGAATTGTCTAACATAATTTACCTACACAAGATTATGGTTTAATTTTAATTGCATTTAAGACACAAGTTTTCCTAAAGCAACACTCAGTATGCACCATCAATTATCTTAAAGAAAGAAATGCAGAAAATATATTAATTACGGGTCATGACCCAGCACATTATGAATTTCCAATCAGAAGTAAATCATTGCCACTAATTAGCTTTCTTGTTTGCCAGACTGGGTTAAAGTCTTTATAACATAAGTCATTTCATAAATCATTTTCTCAACATGCAAATCTGAAAGGAATGAGAACCGAAGATATGCTAAGAGCTTAGTAATGTTTGGAGACAGAATTTTGTTGGACAGTCTCCACTGATTTCAGAAATATCTGATCAGTTCAATATGGAATATTTGGAGTTACTGACACCTTATTTTCTTTACTAGTACAGATTGTTTAGATGTTATTTCTTATTTGTCCTTCCTATCCACTAAGTCTTGGATAGATGTAGTCTTTTTTGGTGTTAAGTGAAAAGGGTGTGGTGTTTTGAATGTATTTCAGCTTCATAAACTTATAGCAAAATTGTGATGTTAGTGGGGTTGGGTTTACCTCAAATCTCCACCGGCTTAAACTAGCAATACCAAATTCTCAGTGCTTTTAACTGACATGAACAGTAGAAAATGATCTGATCTCCTTGTTCTCCTTTTTTTTCCAACTCTCGTGTTTTTCTACATCAAGAACACAGATGTTCTTGTTCTTCTGCCATTTTTCTAATCTTTTCAAAATTTTGTCTACCCCTGCTTTCAAAATTTACCTTTCCCTATTTCCATTTTCATCAACTCCTACTCTCCGATGTTTCAGCTAGATAATCTAACAACAAATTAGTACCAATGAGCTAACAAATATTAATGAATTATATGTGGGAAGTACACTGACAGAGTAACACATTTGGGGGTGTGCATGATTTTCTTTCTGGAAGTAATCTTTTAACCTACTTCCCACTAGACTATAAACAACATGAGAGCAGGGTATTTTTGTCTCTGGTTTACTGATATGTCCCTAGGACTTGAACAGTGCATCGTGCTAACAGATGCTCTTAAAAAATAAATGGAGAGCAACAACAATAACAGTGAAATATTTTCAAAAAGGGAGAAAAGGGTAAGACAGATATGTGGACAAGCCTGTTTTTCACTGCTTCTTACTTTTGGGTACAAGTACTGCCCCTAAGGCAGGGTGTACAGAGTTGATTTCATCAGCATTTTGATGGCACCCATAGCATTTAGAAATCAAATCAGCATACTATGCACTCAGGAGAAAAGAAAATGCTATTTTGCTGATTAGCCATTTTCCCTGAGAAATCAAACTTTTAAGGGAGCTTTGTCTCCTTGTTTGATTTCTAAGATAAAGGCCATTTCAACACTAGCATGAAATGAGGCATATTTTAGCAGTTATAAAAACTCCAGAAAACTAAAACCAGGTCAGTCTCTTGGCAAAAATATAGCAAGATTTTACAGTTAGTCCCACCCATCTTATTAGACCTCACTCCCCGAGCCTGTAGCCAAATACTAAAAAAAAAACCACTTCATAGTCCCTAATGTTCTCATGGCCCTTCAGATGATCAATATCTTCATGATTTTCCCCCCAAAACCAACCACAAGTGTGTAACAGCAGTTTAAAAGGGTATAGCATTAGGAACAGGATTTTCCCATATCTTAAGAAGAGAGTTGAATCATCGTGTCCGGGTTCTGCTCCCCATTTCATTAATACCTGTTTTTCTAAGAACACAAGAAACCCTTCTGAATCTTCCAGTATAGTTGAAAACAGCCTCCTCTGTGGCACCACCTTTGGCTTCTTTTTTCTTGTCACTGTTCCTGTCTCTTCCTCCTTATCTGACCTTTAAATATTGTACTCAGGATGCTTGGCTTCATATTCTTCTGATTCCCTCTCCAGGTGTTCTTATTCTGTCCCATGACACTAAATAAAAATTCATGTGTGTAAAATTCTCATATTTTTATCTCCAGCCCCGCTTTGTGTTCTGAGCCATGGAACTTTATGTTTGTCCTCTTGGATACTCTTCTAAGAAGTCCACTCAAAAATTACAGATATTAACATGTTCAAAACTGAGCTCAATCTCTTCTCCCCCATAAACACACTCTTCCTCCTCTAATTCTTATCACAGAAAACTGGAAGCCATCCTGAATGTCTGCCTTTCCTGTAAATGCAGTATCTAGCATACAAATTGCACTCAATAAATGTGTGTGTGGAGACGGTAGGAGGAGGAAGAGCTAGAGTAGTCATGTGAGCAGCCATGAAATCACATTATGTAGGCAATCTGCAGTTCCACCAACATGTATTTCATTGTGTATTCTTCCTAGACATTTAATTTAGTAAGATACGCAAACTCATCTTTTGCTTTACATTAATAATATTAACTTATGTCACTGGAGTACTATTTTAAATCATTTTCTTTTATCCCGAATAACCTTGAGGGATAGGCATTGTTTTTCTTATTCTCTAGATGATGAAGATGAGGCTTAGAGAGTTTTCATGACTCTCTGAAAAAGATGCCCAGCTGGTAATTGGTAGAGCTGGGAGAGAAATTGAGATTTTTTTTTTTTTTCATTTTTAAATGTATGATTCCAGGCCATTGTAGGATTATATATATTTTTATTATATAAAATGAGGTCAATGGGAGATTAGCCTCAGTTTCTGCACCCATAGAATAAGGATAATAATATCTACCTCAATGTGATAATTAAATGAGATAATGCATGTAAAGCACTTAGTACAGTGATGGGGCCATGGTAAGCCCTTATGATGGACTGCAATTTATTAATGTGAGATTTTAAATCTCTTCTTCTATGAAATGCGAAGCAATTAAAGGATTTTGAGCAAGATAGTGATACAATGAAAGCCACTATGGGGAAGATTAATCTGTCACTTGTGGGAAGTTTATATTAAAGTAGAGAGAAACTGGAGACAAAGCAAATGGTTTGAGGACTATCATGATAGCTCAAGCACAAAGTGTCACTTGCCTAAACTTAAGTGGTGGCTGTGGGAGACCCCATCACCAAGTTGGGGTACACCTGCAGGAGTGCAGCCTAGGAGAACTGGCAAGGTTCAGAACCTATGAGCTAGAAGTCAAACTAGAAGTCAAGGAAAGAAGGAAAGCCGTGGTTGTAAAGTTTGCCATCTCCAGATGAAATGTCCACAGAAGCATTTGTGCAGTGCTATTATTTTCTGACTATACTGTTGCTATTTGAAAATTCTGCATTTCTGGGCTCCCTTTCAAATTAGAAGCTGTAGCAGCTCAAAATTCACGTTCACATATGCTAATAATCTTCCTTAGCTGCCATGATCTCCATATACCTGAAATTTCTACTGATGCCTGTTGTGTTATGCCAGGCCTGCTTCACTCATCCACGGGAAAGGACCAAAAGCCAGGCTGAACCTAAAGTAGGTCAGGTTGCAACAGCACATTTTGGCTTAAGAGAAATGTTTCAGACATGAGCCCTTAATAGTGAGAGGTTTCTTACCCCTATTTAAATAATATAGAACTGAATTTCTTGACCCATGGTGGGAGTATAGTTTAGAAGGTCCATGAGATGTCAAGACTAGCCTTGTTCAATATGAAAATAAAGTATGAAATGGAGAGATGTTAAAAAGGATTAATTATGGTGGTAGTTTGGATATTAGAATTCAAGGGCAAGAAAATTAGTAGTATTTCAGAAAATCTGAAAACTCCCTTTAAAATAGCCAAGCCTTATGCTTATTTGATTTTTTTTTTCTCATGCCTGGCAAAACTAAGAGAAGCTAAAATACAGAGTGCCATTGTTTAAAAATTAAACTTTGTGCAATGAGAACTAAACCTCAGGAATCAACAACCTGTATTTGGCATGCTATCAAGAAAGAACTGTTAATAAACGTGTCTCTCAATAAAAGTGTAGAATTTGATATTTTAAAAATTGTTAACATAGTATTTTAAATTTCTTTATTGAAATCCATCACCAAACAATAACAAAACTCGCAGAAGCATTATGGCTGCTCAGTGAAGTAATAACTGCTAGGATTAGATTCTCTGCTTCAGCAGAATCCAGATACATGTACAAGAGTGATATATAGCAAGGCTGCAGATACTGTAGCTTGTCTTCACAGCAGACTGAACATCAGAATTGACACTAAACTTTGTGTCAAGATACACACAAAGACTTCCAGACACAGAGTGCACCTGAGGTTATAATCTGTCAAGATTAACAAAGTGAATACCTACAAAAGCAAATAGACTGTGATATAATTGTCATCTCCAAACTGGTGAAAGAAGATTTTTCTTCCCAATTAACATTCAAGTGCATGAGACTGAAATCCATTTACTCATTTTCTGATAATTTATGCAGCAATGTACAGAAGTAATAGGCATGGTTACATGGCACATTTATACAATACTTTTCATCCCTGAGGATCCTAAAGCTCTTTACAATTATAGCTAATGTTTGTTAAAGTACTTTGAAAGGGGAAGGCGCCACAGACGTTCCAAATATTATGATTATGAAAAAGCTTGATACAGTATGTATAGAACACTTCGCTCTCATGAAATTGTTGCCAGTTCTAGTGCAGGAAATAGAATTCCTTTATGAGACTGATGAGCCAATGTTTATACAACTTATCCTTCAAGAAGCTTAAAGTCAACCTCTTCTCTACTGTAACCATCTCAGAAATTACATGCAATATGGTCTATAATTACTTACTTTTAGAATTGTAAGGAATGCAAATATCCTTAATAAGAAAAACTCATTTTTTTGGTCAACAAATAAGAGTCATTATTTGTTGCTGTATTATTTCACTAGCCCCAGCAACTGACCCACCTTTCCATATATGAACTTGTGAGTCAAACAACCAAGAGAATGGCACATAATGGACTTCTCAGCCTCCTTAACAGCAGCACTGACAAATGATATAGACTGCCAATCAGACCAGGTGCCTAGATTTTCAACAAAAAGCTAATGTTATGAAAAAAAAGAAAACAGATACTACATAGAAACCCAGTCTTGCAAATATGTCTCTGGTGGCCTCATCCAGTTTTCAGAGGCAGCAGTGGCAGTATTTTTAGCCATAGAGCTAGGAACAAACACAGCTGGAAAGAAGTGTGCAGTCCGTGCTCTTTGGTAGTGACAATGGAGTTATCATAGGACCAGGTCTACGGTGTGAGTCGTGGATTTTACTTTAATTTCCTAATGTAATCCAACAAGCCTGGATCTTCAGCCCTTCTAGAGATTATGTGAGTTACTTGCTGTCTTGTAAATAAACTACTTTTCTGCTCAAATTATCAGAGTGGGTCTCTGTTGCTTACAATCCAAATCTCTAAATATTTGATACACTGATGATGCTTTAATCAGTTTAAGCCAACACTTCTTTTTTTTTTTTTTTTGAGACAGAGTCTTGCTCTGTCACCCAGGCTGGAGTGCAGTGGCACAATCATGGCTCGCTGCAACCTTCACCTCCTGGGTTCAAGCAATTCTCTTGCCTCAGCCTCCTGAGTAGCTGGTATTACAGGTGCATGCCACCACACCCAGCTAATTTTTGTATTGTTAGTAAAGACGGGGTTTCACCATGTTGGTCAGGCTGGTGTTGAACTCCTGACCTTGTGATCTGCCTGCCCCGGCCTCCCAAAGTGCTGGGATTACAGGCATGAGCCACCACTCCCGGCCTAAACCAGCAGTTCTTACTCTGGTGAACTAACTGTTGTATATGACTTTGCTCCTTCCTTTTCCTTTTCTATTAAATTTGGATATGACAAAATTGCTCAGCTTTGGTTTCTGTTTTGTTGTGATTTGATTTGGTTCTTTTTCTTTCTTTATCTCTCTCTCTCTCTCTCTCTCTCTCTCTCTGTGTGTGTGTGTGTGTGTGTGTGTGTGTGTGTGTGTGTGTCTCCATATCATTTGACCCTTCTCTGGATCTAGTAAGTTTGTTGCTAGATCCAGGAACCTCCCTACATTTTCCTGAGCAAAATGAAAATAAAGGCACTTAATGAACACAGGTTTTCATTCTACTAGTCTATATGTTTGTGTATTTATTAAAGATTTTATATCACTTTTTAAGGACAATTCAGTAACTGGTTATATGTTGGAAAGCAGATATAGCATTTATAGGAAGAATAAAAAATAGAAAAAAATGCTCTAATATAATATGAGTGGCTACTTAGACCTAAGGATAAAATTGTCATGGACAGATTCACACTAGTTTCAAAAAGTCTTATATCCCCTTCGACTTAAATGAAAGTCAAAATGATGTGTGCTGAAAAGCTAGGCAGGAAGACTCAAAAGTAACTCTGGTGATTATGAACACACTAATGACAGTGACACATGAAATGAGCTCTCTCAAAACTGTTTCATGAAATGCTAGAGTAGATACATCATTATTTCTAAATGAGTATATGATCTTTTAGTTACACGAATGTACTTAATACACTAAATATTTGAGTAGACTAAAATGGAATAGTATGCTGCAGAAGTTTAAATGGACATGTCCTTTTACTCAGTAATTCTACTGAAGTTTTTTTAGGACAGTTTTGTGTGGTGGCTAAAAATTTAGGCACAGACAAACCTGGGTTCAAATCGTAGTTCTGTTGAGGATTAATTGTGTCAAATGGACAATGTGTCACATTTCCCCAGCCTCCAAATCTCCATCTAAAAAGAACAATTAATAATGCTTGCCTCAAAAAGGTTGCTAAGAAGACTAAGCACATAAAGCATTTAGCATAGTGCTTAGTGCATAGTATGTGACAATGTCACCTATTGCAATGATAAATATTGTTATTATTGTTATTATCTTGCCGCAGAAGTATTCACACTATTTGACATCACATAAATGTCCATCACTACACAAAGCATTAAATAAATTGTTTCACCCAGCCTTTGGAATAACAACAAATCCATCTAAGAAGTGAAGTAGCTTTGTATGCACTGACAGTGATGAAGATCCATTATATGTTACTGGTCACTATAAAAAGCAGGTTGCAGAAAAACATGTCTCTCATAACCCCACACTTTTATATACGTGTCTATGTTGCTGTCTGTTTGCATGGATTCATCAATGTGTTTGAAACTTTATGTACCTGTTAACACCAGTTATCTCTGGGGAGTAGAAATGTGAGTGGGAGAAAATAAAAGCAACATTTCACTTTTCATTTATAGATTTTGTTTCTCTGTGTGTTTGTGTGGCTATGTACGTCTTTACTTTTATGCAAAACAATGAGAAAAAGTAAACTTTCACAGCCTTTTTATTCAACAGTGACCTTCCAAGTTTCACACCAGTAATAATGCCAATTTTCACCTGTAAATTATGCATATATATAAGCATAGTCCTTTCTAGGCCCAGAATCCTTTCATATTAACAGGACTTGTGCATGTATAAGGAAGAACGTCCCATAATTCTCAAATATTTTGTTTGCATTTCCAAAACTGACAATTTATTTGTAGAAAGTTTATGATTATTTTATGAAAATATATTTTAATGTTGTCTTTAAAAAAATAAAGTTTATGACTATCATGCACTGTTCTTTTTTTTTTTTTTTTATTTCAATCTGAGAGCAGGCACTGTTTATTAACTGACCAGCTTAGAAAAGTAATCATGGTAGACACCTTAGTTCATTCTTCTAATAAGCCTGTTGATCTGGTCCTCCCTGTTGCCAGCATTTCCACCTTCTACAAAATAAGTGGTCTTTTTCTTCACTCTGCCTGGTGGAAAAGGTAATTTGAAGGGCCACAGAAAGTTATTTGCTTCTTTGAAGCGTTTTCCAACAGTATAGATCTTATGAATCTGATCCTCCATGCAGATGATGCCGTATTTACCAAGACATCGAGCAATCATAAGCATTAAATGTCAAAGCAATTCACTTCTTATTGATTTTGTCATAACCACGCTGGTAGATTAGTTCATTTACTGAATTCAGATTTGGGTACCCCCATGCAATGTATGGCTCTACAATCCTCAGCATGTTAATTGAAGCCTTGTCAAGCTTCACAAATGTTCTGTTGAAAATTTGACGAAGGCGAAGGAGCCGCAACACCTTTCAGAACTTTGGGCTCACACCATTGATACCTCTGATCCTGATGACAAACTCCAATTTGGGTTCTGCAGGTACATAGAAGTTGCCAGCTTTTCTTGCCATCCTTGTCATTCGAATTTCAGTTCTGTACATCTGCCTATATTCCTTGGAATAGTGCATGGCTTTTTCCTAGGTAAGCTTCCTCCTCACCTTTCAAAGCATCTTTTGGGCAAACTTCTTTCTCAGGCACTTGACCTTCAGCTCTGCAAAATTCTTTCGCTTTTTCTTAAGGGTTTCTGGCACAGCAGGAAACTTCTTCTTCTCTTCTATAACCTCCATGGTTCCAGCTGAAAAAGAGGCATGCCCCGTTCTTTCTAATGCCATCAAATTAGACAATCATATTCCTTTTCCCTCAGAACAATGCATTATTGCCTTGCCCAAGTCAGTTTCTCTTCATTTAGCTAGGACTCATAATTAACCCTTCATTTTATCTCAAAATCATTATGCAGTGGATCATGGAGATCATGTGTTCACTCCACAGATATTTATTACATGTCAACTCCGTAAAAGAAATTGCCTTACCTGCAACACAACTCATTTGCATCTTATAAGTGGTGGGAAAGGATTGAATTGACGCCTTTTTTCCACATACAGTTCATTTATTTTAGGCAGAGAAATGAGAACTCAGTGTAGTAATGTCCTCTGACCAGCAATTATAGTTTGAAGTCACAAAACCAGGTAGCCTTTAAGCAACGGGTTAATAACACATGCCACTCTGTACAGATTTAGATGATGGATGACTGGAATTTGAAGTAACTGGACAGCTGTCTGAACAGACTATTTCATTATACGTGAAGGAATGGCATTTCTAACTATGATGATAATTAGAGTAGATGAAATGCATAAATCAGGGAAGTTTTTTTATAGCATTGGTTTGGGGGAACAGTTTTTAACCCTCCGTATGGGCTCAGTGCATTGGATTAGGAGCCAATGCATGTTGCTATAACAGGAATGATGTGATATTCTTGTTTCTAGTGCTACATGGCATGTTTTTTGTATATCTGAATTCAGAGTAACACACGATGCAATAAGAATGTTCAGTTGCAATCAAGGATTTGAATAAAACATGCCTGATAATATTATAATGCGCATTGTTGTTATTTTAGCCATATAATTCCTGTAGTTCAAGTAAATTCCTTTTACCCTTTTCCAGTATCTCACAAATTTGTAACATCTCTCTTTCAGTTATCAATTGCTGTGTAACAAAATTCCCCAAATCTTAAAAGCTTCAAACAACCACCATGAACCACATTTGTTACCTCTCCTCATTCTGAGTTGTCAGGGATCAATTAGTTCTGCTGATCTTACTTGGGAATTTTCACAAAGTTGCCAAATTCATAAGGAGACTCAACTTAGACTCTGGGAAGACTGAACCTCTCTTCATCATCTTGCCATCGGAACGCTTCTCTTTTCCATGCGGTCTTTCTGTGTGGTCCCTCCATGTAGAATCTCCAGCGGTGTAGCCAAACTTCTTATGTGGCAGCCCTCCCAAAAGTCAGCTTTCCTGGAGGAAGGAAACGGACATTGCCAGTCTTCCTAAAGACTAGGCAGGTGCTTATCAGCAAGGCTTCCATTCTGCCATATGAGGTTGGATAAACCTACACCCAGGCCAGCTCAAATTCAATGTGTGTGGGAATTTCATGAAAACATAAATACCAGGAGGCGTAGTTCTTTAGGGGTCACCTTTGAAGACCAGTTACCATGATGCCCTTTTTTCTGGAAGGGAGCACAGTAATGTTGTGATGGCCTGACCACTGTCTGGGTTGACTCTGGCTCAAAGCTCCTGCCACTGGACTCTACATTTTTTTGGTAATCAAGAACCATGTTTTACATTTTGAGCACAGTTTTTTATGCTTAGCAGTATCTCAACGAAGTTTAAATTAATGGTAAATCCAGCTGCGTCTCTTTCTCTCCCTTATGTCTGCTCCTTTGTCACTACTACCTAAGTTTAGACTGTGTCATAAAACATAATGTAGTAGTTAATTAGGAAGAACTTTGAGGAAAGATTTATCTGAATTCAAACCCTAGATCCACCATTCCATCCATTTATCTATCTGTCTGTCTAGATGGAATGGTGGATCTATCTCTCTGTCTGTCTAGATGGAATGGTGGATCTAGAATATATATACACACACATGATTTGGATTTACCATTAATTTAAACTTCATTGAAATACTATGATCAATAGGTAGATAGATAGATAGATAGATAGATAGATAGATAGAATGGTGGATCTATGGTATATATGTACACCCACATGATTTGGGCTAAGTTAATTAGCATTTTAAAACTTTCTTGTGCATAAAATAGATATTTTATAGTACTACTTTCATTAATTGAAATAATGCATAGAAGGTAATCTGCCTAGGGCCCAAGTCTTATAAAGCACTCAATAAATGGTAGCTGCTACTTTCTCTTAATTGCAGGCCTGTAGTACTTCTTGAGTGTCCTGCTTTCTCCAGACTCACCTACTTACAGTCTACAGTGATGCTAAATTAGTGGCCCCTAAAACAAATGAAGTATCCTATCACTCTTATCCCCCTCATTCCCCCCAGATTCACTGATTCTTTCTCCATAGTCTACTCTAAATTCTCTTAGCTTGGGATTCTCATTCCTTTAAAATTATGCATTTACTTCTACTCCTCTTCTGAAAATGCAGCCAAGCTGAATCAATTAGTCTTTCTCAAACCCTCCAGGTTTGTGGCCCCATATCTCTATTTTGCTTCTTTTACTTTTCTCTATGCCTGGAACTTCTCACTCCTGCCCCTCTTCCCCAGCTAAAGGAGGTTGTAATGATTTGGTCCCTGAAAATGTTCAAAAACATATATATCCAAAAATCACCTGAATGGTTTATTATGAGCACAGGCCCAAATGCCTGCCTGACTCAGCTATTAGCCTAAGTAGGCTAACTAAATGCCATTGTAAAAAATAGACCTCAACAGCATAACACGATTGATGCTTTTACATTTTTGTGCATATAACTGTCCAGAGTAGGTGTTCAGTGACATCTCAGGCACAGAATTTGAAGATGTGCATAACCCAGGTCTAAAAGCAGTTCACATCACTTCCCCTCACATTCCACTGGAGAGGATTGAGTCATATGGCCCAAGGGCAAAGAAAGCTGAGAAATATAGCTAGCTTTTAGCCCAAAGAAGGGACAGTACATGTTGGCACACAGGTAGCAGCTTCTGATAGCTCACTTTATTAAATAAGTAACACACTCCAGATCTAAGAAAAGAGTGAGTTGTAAGGACCGTGACAAATGAGAAAGCTCTTGATGTAACTACAAAGGATAATGTTAGTCACTTTAAGCAACTTTTGCCATGGAGGAATGATTGTCAGGTCCAACCAGATATGATGAGTTCAAGAAAACCAAAAGCCAATTACTGTATGTGAAAACGCCACTTAAAAAATATCAGCAGCTAATTTAATCCTTTTACAAATACTGTGTGCTACGTAACCCATTCACTGACTGAATCTGGCCAGCAGGTCCCTGGTATGTGAAGTCTGTTTTAGACATTGAGTCTGCTAAATTTTTGAAGCTACACACCTTGTTGTCCCTGGAGGTTTGATTCATGTAGAGATTCTGAGACAAATTGTAAGGGAATTGGGCACTATAAATTTTACTCAGAACATTCCCTAAATTCTCTACATATTTTAGGGAACAGACTTAAATATTCATGTTCCTTCTCTGTTCTACCTGCTAAACATGCTGTGGTATTCATTACTTGTACTCACTTGTCTATGTCACGCTCTCTGGACACCTGGTAGGATTTAACTTGCTCATCCCCTTTGGAGTCAGGTGTGGCCATGTGACTTATTTGGCCATTGAAATATGACTCAAGGTGACTTGTCCCTTGGAGGAGGAAGTTTTAAGAACCCACACTGTACTTTGCTTAACAATAAATAAATAAATAAACAAACAAACAAACAAACTCTTTCCCATGGTGATTGGCAAAAATCTAGATTCGGGCTGTTTTGTCAGCCTGGGGCCTAAAGTGACAACGGTCCAGAATAGAGCTCCCAGCAACCCACAAGATGCAAAGCGTGAATGAAAGAAAGAAAATGTTGTTTTCAACCAGCAAGATTTGACGGTTGTTTGCATAGCATAATTGACCTCTCATGATTAATCTCCTTGCTAGTGACTGTGTTTCAACAACCGCTAATTATTTAGATGAAATATTATATATTATAAGGGCTTGGATTAGGAATTACAAGACTTGACTTGAAGTCCCCTGAAAGGGGGACTAATGAACTATGCAGCTTGGGTCACATTACTTCTCTCTGAGTCTCAGTTTTGCCATCTGTAAAGTCAAAAGTGTGGTACTAGATAATTTTGGAGGTTTTTTAATTTACAAATTCCTCTCAGAATATCAGTTTAAAGTCCACCAGCAGTGACACTTGCACTCCTTCTGAATGATAAATCAGTCCTTACTGATAACCCTATACTGTTACAGTGATTTTCCCATTACATTTGTTATCACAACTTTTTTTTTTTTTTTTTGAGACCAAGTCTCACTCTTGCTGCCCGGGCTGGAGTGCAGTGGCATGATGTCAGCTCACTGAAACCTCCGCCTCGCAGGTTCAAGTGATTCTCCCACCTCAGCCTCCCTAGTAGCTTGGACTACAGGTGCCTGCTACCAGGTCTGGCTAATTTTTGTATTTTTAGTAGAGACGGGGTTTCTCCATGTTGGCTAGGC
Organism: Homo sapiens; assembly: GCF_000001405.40. Taxonomy (NCBI): domain Eukaryota; kingdom Metazoa; phylum Chordata; class Mammalia; order Primates; family Hominidae; genus Homo; species Homo sapiens. Next base: position 166,033,733 of record NC_000005.10, read on the forward strand.
TGGTCTCGAGCTCCCGACCTCAGGTGATCCACCTGCTTCAACCTCTCAATGTGCTGTGATTACAGGTGTGGGCTACCACACCATACCCACAACTTTTAGGTGTGCTTAAAATTATTAACTGTAACATTTCTGAGTGCAGGACAGAGTTCAACTAGACATAATTTATAAGGAAAAATACCAAAACTCAAAAAGATTGAATTGCTCCTATCACAAAAATAATTAGTAGAAAAATCTAGAATCTAAGCCTAGTCATTTCTGAGCATATGTTATTTTCCTATTACCATATTTGCAATTTAAATTGAATTTCCTGTAGCATGCTTTATTTATTTTATTTACTTTTAATTTTTGCCCTCCGAACACAGAAAATGCAATTAGGATGGTTCTCGGAGACAATAGGTCACTTTACACCACCCACCAAGAAAAATGTGGACGAACACATGGGGAATTCTGCTTGCTTTGAAGAAAATATTTCAATATGTCTTTTAGTAGAGGGAAAAATGAAAGAAGCAAGTTCAAGATGAGAAATCACTAGCCAGCAAGCATATTGTGATAAATCAGCCATAACATGATTATAGCAACTTCCTTGGGAAAGAAATCAATGCTGAATCAGACTTAGATAGACCAGGGGGATCAAATGGAGGTCAAAGGTACTTCTCCATCTCGAAATTGGATAATTATTACTGTTATTATTGTCAGTTGCTATAATATAATACTGGGAGAAATATACAGAATCCCAGTGCTGCATTTATTGGCTGGCTAGACAAGTCAATCCATTACAAGGAAATAAATTCAAGCATATTACTCTATCAAAATATCAAGTGAATTAGGGTAATTAGAACAAGGCTACCTGTGAGTCTCCTTTAGATTTTTTTTTAAATAAGCAGAAAACATAAAGCAAATAAGCAATTTTGAAAGAAGAAATTGCATTCATTTCTTTTGTTTTGAAAATTGGACAGTAAGGCTTGCTATAGTAAGTATACCAGGTTCCAGCTGGGCACCGTGGCTCAAGCCTATAATCCCAGAACTCTGGGAGGCTGAGGAGGGTGGATCACTTGAGGTCAGGGGTTGGAGACCAGTCTGCCCAGCATGGTGAAACCCCATGTCTACTAAAAATAAAAAATTAGCTGGGCGTGGTGGTGGTGAGTGTGTGTAATCTCAGCTACTCAGGAGGCTGAGGAGGAGAAGCGCTTGAACCTGGGAGGTGGAGGTTGCAGTGAGCCAAGATCGTGCCACTGCACTCCAGCCTGGGCAACAGAGTGAGGCTCCATCTCAATAAAGAAAAAAGAAAAAGGTATATACCAGGTTGGAAATCTTGGATTTGAATGTAGCTGAAACCAGGAAGCTCCGGACAGGCCTATGTTTCCCTTATTCATAACATTCGGTCAGTCACCAAGTTTTCCTACTATATTCCTTTAATAGTCCTGAAACCTCCCTCTGCCTCCATAATACTCCCACTGCCTGCACCTGGTCTTTAGCCTTCTTGCCTGCATTTCTGCACCAGCCTCTCCTTTCTTCTTCCTGCCTAAGCCTCACATGTTTCTAGAGCATTCTACTTAAACTAACTTAAGTGATCTTTCTGAAATTCAAATCTAATCATGAGGCTTGTGTCCTTTAAACTATTTAGTGGCTTCCCCTCATAAGTAATTATTTTCTAAAGGTTCGGGCTGTCTGTCTTTTCCTTGCTAGACATCAGTCAAGCTGATTATCAAGCAAATCCATCTTTCATTTTCTGCTTAATATTTAATATTTGTTCTCTATTGCCCTTATTGGACTCTTAGTCTTTTGCTAGTGAGATATCTTTTTTTTTTTTTTTCCGCAGTTCATTTTGGGTCATGGGTGGGGTGTGTCAACAGAGGTTCTTTAGTTCTCAGGCTATTTGAGCACAAATGCATCATTGCTGCTGTGAGTGGGTGCATGAGCCCTCAGTTATGTCATCAGCTTAGACCTTTCTACTTTCATTTGAAGTGGTGAGAGGGGAGCTTCCTCTGTGCTTCAACAGTGATGTCAAAAAGTACACGCATATATTTGTAAGAATATGCATGTGTGTATGTATGTACATAGATCGTGTGTGTGTATACAGTCATGTGCTACATAACAGCGTTCCAATCAACAACAGACTGCATGTACCTCATGTGTGATGGTAGTCCCATAAGATTACAATACCGTATTTTTACTGTAGTCTTTCTATGTTTAGTTATGTTTAGATACACAAATACTTACCATTTTGTTATAGTTGTCTATAGTAGTACAGTAACATGCTATACAGGTTTGTAGCCTAGGAGCAATAGGCTATACCATCTAGGTTTGGGTGAGTACACGCTATGATATTCACATGACAACAAAATCATCCAATGACATATTTCTCACATCCAATGACATATATTTCCATTAAACAATGCATCACTGTTTATACATTAGTCACCCACTGCTTATCCTTGGGGAATATGTTCCAAGACCTCCAGGGGATGCCTGAAACTACAGATAAAACTGATCTCTCTATAAACTGTTTTCTCCTGTCCACACCTATGATAAAGTTTAATATATGAATTATGCATAGTGAGAGACTAACAGTAATAACTAATAATAAAATAGCACAACTCTAACAAGATACAATCGTCTCTTAGTACCTGTGGGAATTTGGTTCCAGGACCCTCCACAGATATCAAAATCTCTGTATACTCAAGTCACTTTTATAAAATGATGTGGTATTTACATATAACCTATGTACATCTTACCATGTACTTTAAATTAGCTCTAGATTACTTATAATACCTAATACAATGTTAAGGCTATGTAAACAGTTATACTGTATTGTTCAGGGAATAATAACACAAAATGTCTATACGTGTTCGGTGCGGATGCAATCATCCTTTTTTTCTGAATATTTTTGACCTGAGGCTGATTGAATCCATGGGTGCAGAATCCATAGATCTGGAGGGCCAACCGTACTGCAATAAAAGTTATGTCAATATGGTCTGTTTCTCTCAAAATATCTTATTGTATTGTACTTACCTATTTTCAGACCACTATTGACCACAGGTAACTGAAACTCGTGAAAGAGAAACCGAGGATAAAAGGGACGGCTGTATACACCTGTGTGTGTATCCAAAGCATGGTAGCCATTCCGTTCCTGAAAAATAATTTATATAAGTTATAACAATAGAAGGAATCAACCATATATTTGTGAGTGAAGAGGCCCAAACCTTAGATTTCATGCTCCAGAAACACCATCAATAGATTATGAAGCCCATTCTTTTAAACAACCGATAGTCTTGACCTACATAGCAGTCTTTTCTTGTCTCTTGATCAACTCAATTGCAGATATAGCACAAACACAAGGAAGTGAATGCCCTATAAGGACTCTTCAATGAACAGAATAAATAAATTAGTGAAGAAACGATCCAGCTTTCCATCCTTTGGTGGAAAGTTCATGTAATCTACATGTATTTCCGAGAGTTTTCAGTGGGATTGAGCTCCATTTTTCCACCAGGGTGTCTAGCTCAGTAACATCAACTGTAGGGTTTTCCCCTGCCCCTCCCTCCCTCTGACTGCTGGGACCACCTCTCAGATAAACTAGGAGAACCCAAAGTGTTGTCTCAGACACTTTCAGAGGCACACAGACTAACGCAAATCTGCTTTTGGTTATCTTTTCTACTAAATAATTCATGATTGATTCTATCCTCAGGTGTCTTAGTCCATTCGTGTTACTATAAAGGAATACTGAAGTAAATTATTTTAAAAAGATTTATTTGGCTTATGGTTCTGCAGACTGTATAGGAAGCATGGTATTAACGTCTGCTTCTGGTGAGGATCTCAGGAAGCTTCCAGTTATGGCAGAAGGTGAAAGGGAGCAGGTATCACATGGTGAGAAAGTAAAGGAGAGAGGAGACGGAGGTGCCAGGTTCTTTTTAATAGTCAGATATAGCAGGAAATAACAGAGCAAGAACTCTCACTACTGCAAGGAAGGCACCAAGCCTTTCATGAGGCACCTGCCCCCATGAACAAAACACTTCCCACCAGGCTCCATCTCTAACACTGGGGATAAAATTTCAGTAGGAGATGGGAGGTGACAAATACTCCAAACTATATTATTCTACCCTTGGATCCCCAAATCTCGTGTCTTTCTCACATTATAATATACAATCATTCCTTCTTTATAATCCCCAAAAGTCTTAACTTCCAGCACCAACCCAAAACTCCAAAGTCTCACTTAACAGTCAAGGAAAGATCTACAGCTTGAGTCTGTAAAATCAAAAATGAGTTATTTACCTCCAAAATACAGTGGTGTACAGGCTTTGCATAAACATCCCATTCCAAAAGGGAAAAACTGGCAAGAAGAGGGGAGTAACAGTCCCTGGGCAAGTCTGAAATGCATCAGGGCAGGCATTAAATCTTAAAGCTCCCAAATAATTTAATTTGACTCTATATCCCACTTCCTGGGTGCACTGGTAAAAGAGGTAGACCACCAAAGCCTCAGGAAGCCCTCTCCCAAAGGCTTTGCTGGCTGAAGCCCCATATGGCTTCTCTCACCACTTGAATCAAATGTCTGTGATTTTTCCAGGCTAAGGGTACACACTGTCAGTGGCTCTACCATTCTGGGGTCTGGATGGTGGTGGCCCTCCTTCCACAGCTCCACTAGGCAGTGCCCCAATGGATACTCTCTCTGGGGACTCCATCTCTACATACCCTCTCAGCCCAGCCTTAGTCAAGGTTCTCTGCAGCAGCTTCACCCCATGGCAGGCTTTTGCCTAGGCACCCAGGCTTTCCAATACATCCTCCGAAATGTAAGTGAAACTGTCAAGCCTCCTTCACTCTTGCATTCTGCATGTCTGCAGACTTAACACCATATGAAAGCCATGAAGGCTTATGACTTGTGCTCTCCAGAGAGGTGGCCTCAGCCAGACTTGGGGTCCTTTGAAGCAAGGATGGAGCCTGAGAAGCCAGGATTCAAGAAGCAGTTCCAGAGATGGTGCAAGGAAGCTGCAGGCACCCTAGTTCTGGCCCCAGAAACCATTCTGTCCTCTCAAGCCTCTGAGCCTGTGATGGGAGGGGCTGCCTTGAAGGTCTCTGAAATGCCTTTGGTACCTTTTCCCTATTGTTTTGATGCCTTCTTTGGTACCTTCTCCCTATTAGCACCTGGCTCTCTTCTATCCTCATTAACCTTTCTAGCAAGTAGTTACTAGAAGTCTGCCTGGATTCTTCACCTGAAAACACACATTTTTGCCTCTACCACATGGCCAGGCTGTGAATTTTCCAAAAGTTTTATGCTCTGCTTCCCTTTTAATTTGAAGTTCCAACTTTAGGTCATTTCTTTGCTCCCATATGTGATTGTAGGCTAACGGAAGCCACCATGACACTTCTTGAATGCTTTGCTGCTCAGAAATCTCTTCTGCCAAATACCCTAGGCCACCACTCTTAAGTTCTACCTTCCACAAAGCCCTAGGGTATGGACACAGTGCAGCCAAGTTCTTTGCAAGGGCTAAAAATGGGTGACCTTTGCTCCAGTTCCAAACCAGTTCCTCACTTCCATTCTGAGACCTCCTCAGCATGGTCTTTACTGTCCATATTTCAATTAGCATTTTGGTCACAACCACTTAATCAGTCTTGAAGAAGTTCAAACTTTCCCTTCTCTTCTTGTCTTCTTCTGAGCCCTCCAAACTCTTCCAATCTCTGCCTATTACCCACTACCAAAGCCACTTCCACCTTTTAAAATATCTTTATAGGAACAACCCATTCCTCAGTATCAACGTTTTTGTCTTAGTCTGTTGGTGTTGCTATAAAGAAGTACCTAAGGCTGGGTAATTATAAAGAAAAGAAGTTTATTTGGCTCACAGTTCTTCAGGCTGTACAAAAAGAATGGCATCAGCATCTACTTCTAGTGAGGGCCTCAGGAAGCTTCCACTCATGGCAGAAGGTAAAGGGGAGAAAGCATCACATGGCAAGAGAGATAAGAAGAGAGAGAGGAGGTAAGTGCCAGACTCTTTTTAATAACCAGACCTTGCAGGAACTGACAGAGTAAAAAACACGCATTACTGTAATGAAGGCACCAATCAGTCCATGAAGAATCCACCTCCATTACCCAAACACCTCCTACCTGGCCCCACCTCCAACACTGGTGATCAAATTTCAACATGGGATTTGGAGTGGACAGATATTCAGATTAAATCACCAGGTATATAAGATGTTATTCAGTGAACTATAATCTTATATACTATGCAGTAAAAAAGCTAGAACAATTAATATGTAAAGGAGTTTCAAGAAATTGTCTTAAATAATGTTTAATTAGTAGTTGATATCATTCCAATGTGCTCTTCAGTATAATTTTACCATGGGGCATAAACACATATTATTATTCATATGTATCCCTTTATTTTACCACTAACTTCCCCTAAGTTAAAAACTTATTTGGAATAAGACAACTTTCTATTGTGAATTCAGGATAGAAGTTGAGTTTTAAGGCTATACATCTCTATTTGTATATCATGCAAATGAATAACAATAGGCATACACAGTTTTACTGTTAACTAAATATAGGGGGCTTTTGATTTTACCACCATGTGAAAGTTTCTATCTACTTCTGAAAAGCTGCCCTTTTATTTTTTATATAGTAATGGTTCATCTTCAAGGACTAACAAGAAAGGGTATTTTGCTATCCCTGGAGAAAGAAAGGCATATAGATTTATATAATTCATAGATATTGAAAAACAGGATACTCTCTCCCACACATAAAATATGAGTTCTAGTTTAACGTTATCTATTTCTTATATAAAGCACATTCTGTGTATTACAGATTAAATATCAACATATGTAAATTAAGTTTGGGCTAACTAGGTTTAGTTCAGTTTGCCTGAAATAATCGTTCTTTGTTCTTAGTTATATGCACAGATACAAACATTAAAAGAGAAAAAAAAACTGAGTATAACACTTCAGTGTCTGTGATTCAGTGACAAATGCCTGAAAGTCTTATCTTTTTCATTAGAATAATGAAGCAATGAAATAATACACACTGGCTTCTGCTCCTAGCATGTGCATTTCTGCTAAGGAAAAGTAACAAAGGCAGATTTCATTTACTAAACTACTTGCATGCTTCCTAGGGATATGGCAGGCAAAGGGAGAAAATAGACACAAATGTTTTGACTTATTTGCTAGTTTGTGATAGTTAATATTTAGATATCTGTCTTCTCTTGTTTTTAATATATTATTCATCTTGATATATGTGTTTATGTGTGTATGTTTGTGTATTCAATTCAACAGATGTATTATGCACCTACTATTTGAAGGTTCAGCAATAGATGCTAGAGGGAATACAAAGGTGAATGAATCGCAAGTCTTATTTTCACAGAACTTGGAGATTAATTAGAGGAGATATATATATCTTTATGTTCAGGGAGAACTTAAGCCAACCAGAACTCACACTTAGAGGCAAACCTGGATCTGACATGAGGCTATTTGTAGTTTTTATTCTTCTTTTATGTTACTATTCATACATTTGCTATGAAGATAATAATGTTCGATTATGGCATACTATCCCTGACTCCATCAGTGTATTATTAAATATACACACATACATGCCAAATTACCTTTCCAAAATCTAAATAATTCTGAATTCTGAAACACATCTAGATGTATAGGTTTTGGATCCAGGACTAATACTGAACAGATCTGGCCTGCCATGTTTGATTGTAGCCAGTGGGGACTGCAGTCCAACCCACTCTACTTCCACATCTGGGGCTCTGTTGGCCTGGAGAAAGCTGTTTATATATTTGCACAAAGAAGTTTTCTTCTGACAAGCCCTGCCTGGGAAGGGAACAATGGGACCTCAGGAGATAATTTTCTCTAATACGTTTCTTGAAAGTTGGCTGAGGTTTTGAAGGAGATTAAGTTTGAGGTAGGACTGATCACAAATCTGATAGGGAAAGGAATGTGTGAAGAAGATTATAAGAAAGACTTATGAAGAATACTCATGTAATAGTGTTCCTTGAAACCATCCATCTAACAGCAATGGCAAGAAGGTAGCTGGAAAAAAACAGAGAGAGAGAGAGAGAGAGAGAGAGAGAGAGAAAGAACAATCGTTATCATGGCAGAAAACTCCCATTTACTCCTTATGACAACAGTAGGAATAGAGCACTTTTATTACTCCCATTTTACCAATTATAAGATTCACAGTTATTGAGGAATTTGTCCATGACCACACAACTGTAGGTTGTGATGGGAGAAATGTAACACAAGCTGATGCCACTTTAAAGCTAGTACTCTAACCACTATACTAAGTTGGAATACTGGACTGGGAACATGATAAATCTGGGTTCTGTTGCTAACTGTGCCAGCTCTCCACAGCAATCGTTGCCCCTTAGGATTGCAGAGTAGCAGGGACCAAAAACAAAACCCCAACAACAACAAAAGCCAAGTTGCAGAGAATAGCCTCAAAAGACTGTTTAGTGTTTTGTGATGGAGAACCCAGCTCTGGTTACCCCAATTCTAACTGCGATCCTCTGCTTGGTTTCCCTACTCCTCAATAATAAATGTTAGTTAAATTCCCTGAACTCCGACTCCTCATCTTGCAAATGAAGTAGTTGGAAAGAGTAACACTGTTTTGCTTCCAACTCTCTCTTTTTTTTTGTTTTGAGACGGAGTCTGGCTCTGTCGCCCAGGCTGGAGTGCAGTGGCGCTATCTTGGCTCACTGCAAGCTCCGCCTCCCGGGTTCACGCCGTTCTCCTGCCTCAGCATCCCGAGTAGCTGGCACTACAGGCGCCCGCCACCACGCCCGGCTAGTTTTTGGAATTTTTTTTTTTTTTTTTTTGAGACGGAGTCTCTCTCTGTCGCCCAGGCTGGAGTGCAGTGGCGGGATCTCGGCTCACTGCAAGCTCCGCCTCCCGGGTTCACGCCATTCTCCTGCCTCAGCCTCCCAAGTAGCTGGGACTACAGGCGCCCGCCACTACGCCCGGCTAATTTTTTGTATTTTCAGTAGAGACGGGGTTTCACCGTTTTAGCCAGGATGGTCTCGATCTCCTGACCTCGTGATCCGCCCGCCTCGGCCTCCCAAAGTGCTGGGATTACAGGCGTGAGCCACCGCGCCCGGCCAGTTTTTGGAATTTTTAGTAGAGACGAGGTTTCACCGTGTTAGCCAGGATGATCTTGATCTCCTGACCTCGTGATCCGTCCAACTGGGCCTCCCGAAGTGCTGGGATTACAGGCGTGAACCAACGCACCCGGCCTCCAACTCTCTTAAGTGTGAAAGTTTCTCACCAAGTCCATTACTTGACAAACTTAGGACAGGCTGGTTTGAGGTCTTATGAAAAGTTTCATCTTCTCCTACATCTTAAAATCTTTGGCAGTTTTCCCCTATGCTTTCTGTTTCAAACTGTTGACTCTGTTTTTATCTGTTGCACAACTTTTTATCTTCTGAGCTACCCTAGTTTTATCGTCAGAGCATTTCAGTATGTACAAACAGTCATATGATATTTATTTTTATTTCCACATTGAATTAAATTTAATTTGTAGTTATATTCCAATGTCAGTTTGATTTTCTTATGTTTATTGCTTTCAAAATATTGGCTTCATTCATTCATTCATTTATTCACTCAATTTCTTCAAAACATATTGAGCTCCTACAGTGTTCCAGGAACTCTAAGAAGTACTCAAGACAAAAAGATGAATAAATCATGTTCTTTAGAAACTAATAGTTTAACTTGGGTGTATAAATTAGCAATTGCCAGGGCAAGTCATTTTTAGTTCAAGTATTATAGAATAATGAAGGCCAAAAAAGAGTATTTTTAAAATTATCTTTCAATGGATCTTAAGAGGGCACCCCAGAATTGGTAATTATGCGAGTGATATCTGGAAAGGTGACTGAGATAAGCCTGGTAAATTAGAACAGAAAGGACATTTCAGGTAGAAAGAGCATTGTTTTATTTGTGTTATTTTATGTTTTGTAATTATTGCAACCCCAATTTTTTTCATTATAGTTATAGGAAGACAGTTCAAAGTAGTGAACTGATCTTTGTTTTTCATAGTTTCCATAAAATTAATTACAGAGATTATGCTGGAAAAACCATCACATGTAAGCCATTCAGTTAATTTGGGTTCTCTTAAACTGTATATGTTATGGAAACCAAATAAGAAGTGGATGATATGTCTTGGTTAAGTTATTTAAATGCTATAAATTGATGTCTATAAAATAAATTTCCACTGTTCAAACAACTACACTATTAATAAAAATCTCCATGCTGATCCCTTATTTAAGTCTCTTAGTTGCAAGCAGCAGAAGTCCACTCTGGCTGATTACTCAGTTTATTAAAATAAGCCTGTTTCAAAGAATTTCTAGAAAAAAAAAGAGACTTCATTTGAAACTGAACTTTTAAAAGCAGTGCCACGAATCCTGCCATAAAATTGATCTGATGAGAAAATCCTTTGCCTTTGCCATAGAAATTTAGCCATTACACTGATAACTTGTATTGTAGGCATTTTGGCCCCCAAAGCTTAACTTTACTACAACTTATATTACCAAAATTAATGTCACTGTGGCTTTTGCTTTAATGGTCCCAACCACCTGTAATAATCACTTGCACATACTTAAACCCCTGAATTCATTCTACAGAGCAACACAATTATTTACTTTTTTTCCCACCCCAAAATCTCCTAGGCAGAGATACATGCAACCTTGTTTATTCAATAAATTCTTATTGAACACTTACAACTATGCACCTAAATTTTGTGAGCAAAATATGTATTTGATTTATTGTAATCGTTCTCATTTTAACATACATCAAAAGTGATATGTACAAGGTACAGTGGTTGGCCAAAGACACAAGTAGTCTTCCCATGAGTAATTGAGGTAAGCTTCATAGAGGAGGAGATTCTTCATTGTTCTTATATGATATATACATATATCAAGTCATCAAGTTATACACCTTAAATATATATATCTTAATTTATTTTCTGCTGCTATAGCAGAATATCCAGACTGGATAATTTATAAAGAACAGAATTCTATTTGGCTCATAGTTGTGGAGGCTGGAAAGTCCAAGAACATGGCACCATCATCTGACATGGGCCATCCCACAGCAGAAGGCATCACATGGTGAGGAAGTGCATGTGTGAGACAGAGAAGAAGGAGGCTGAACTTACAAGAAGCTCACCCCCATGATAATTAACCTACTCCCTCAATAACAACATTAATCCACTCATGAGGGTGGAACTCTCATGGTCCAATGATCTCTTAAAAGCCCCACCCCTTAATACTGTTAAAATGGCAATTAAGTTTCCAATACATGAACTTTTGGGGGATAAATTCTAAACATTGCCATTAACAATTTAAAAAATTACTAGCCTGGCACAGGGAGTAAATGCATCATAGACAAAGGCATTGAGCCAGAAAGAGAATATTATGTTCAAGAGCCTAGAAGTTTTATTTTGTTTATATCTCAATGTTAACATTTACCTTGTGCCATAAGTATCCATTTTAGTATATTTTTTCTCCAGTAGTTTGTGAAAGCCTATTAGGACAATTTTTTTTGTGAATACTAATATCCTAATGTCATTATGTAAAGCGAAAATATCCCTTTAATAATCCAAAGGTGATCAATGATATAAAAGGTTTTTTTAAGCAATTGAAGTTGTTCTGCTACAATGTGTTTCTGTAATGTAAATTAGCTCATAAATGATTGGTAAATAGGGAATGCTGTCATCTAAATGTAGAAGTTGCAATTTTTCCAGCAAGTTATTGATTTTTACCACAAAGTAACAGCAGCTGAGTGCAAAGTATATTGGCAAAGCCGAATGAAATAAGGAACAGAGGAATTGAATACTGTCCACAGGCCTATAGTTTCTCTTGGCACAGTTTGGCAATGTACACTGGCTTAGATGAGCTTTTCCTCAATATTTGTGTATTCCTAGCATCTTCAACATTTTTCTACATCCCTTTTTATCAAATTACCTACATCACACTTTATTTTGAATGTAAATTGCTTTATTCAGAACATCATTTCTTTAAATATTTTAGAAGTTTAATTTTTTAAGTGAGATATTTTAAATAAATTTTATTATTATTTTTGTTACTGGCCTGGTTATATTTTAAATGGTCTGGCCAACCCCATTTTCTCCATACGATTGGTAATATTAATGTGTGATTTTTAGGACTATAAGACTTTTCTAGAATTCTTACATTTTGTGATTTCTGAAAATTGTTTTTATGAAGAAAAACAGTGAAATCATTCATGAAATATTTTCAACAGCATCATGTGGAAGGAAAAAAGCTTTTCCTCCCTATTTAAATAACAATCTGTGAAAAAAATTAAGAAGAAAATCTACTTGCCGTCATTCCCCAGGCAATCCAGTTAATCTACTATTCACACAAATGCTTTCAGATAGATCTTTACCCCAACAGTAAAGCCATATCCAGTGCCAAAACACAGAGTACAAAAACAAATAAATGTTAGAACAGTGAATAGCAATGTAGTCCAACACTTTGTTTTGATAATTGGCACATCCCATGCAATAAATTTCTGGCACCATTCAATTCAGCTGTTACTCTTATGTTACGTTTTTTCCTGTGCTGTCTTTTGCTTTCTGTCTTTCCAATTAGATTTCAAACTACTTAAGAGACATATTTTATATTTCTGTATTTCTCAGGACTTAGCAAAATATCAGACAGAGTATGGGTACCTGAAATTTGTTTTCTAGTTAATTCGTAAGTTGGGCTGACTTGCATTAAACTTAGAGAAACAATTATTGAAAAGAGTTGCCTTTCAACATTTGAATTAAAAGCAGACAAATCAAAGAGAAGGAAAATGACCCATAATTCACTCATACATAACACATTTTGTGGTTATCTCTTTGGGTTTTAGAGGATATTACTTTCTTATTTTGTCTCTAGGTCTAGTCCCTGCTAAGGTTAAGAATTTCAGAGAGCTACAGAAGAGTATTATGCCCCCTCTGTGTTGACAATTTTCTTTATTATTATAGACAAATAATTGCTTCTGAGGCTGTTGGCCTGGGTCACATTTCTCCTGGTAGAAAGTCTTTGTTTGTGTGTGTGTTTTCTTTTTTTCTTTTTTTTTTTTTTCAATCCCCTTGGTAGAAGAAAAAAACGCTTGTCCTTGGTGGCTGTATATTTTCATCAAGCCAAGAATGTCAGCTTCAAAAAATAATTACTGCAGCAATTATGGCTTCTGTAGGTGATTAAATTGCTGAAAACATATATTGACACGTTGCATCTTATTATTATTTTTTTTTAGGAGTGAGTTAGCACTCTCCATACCCTTCCTAGTCTTGTACTTGGTTACATTTATTTGCTTGAGCAATAATAGGACAATTATGTAAATATATATGGTCTAGGTAAGTGTGTATGCTTCTCAGTCATGACGTTGATGTCTCTCCATTATTATTTCTAAGCAATGCTGGAAAATCCCAGTCACATTCATTTTGGATTGTATCTGTATAAATGGAGGAATCCTGGTGAGAATATACCTACACTTGATGATGTGAGATTTTGCCAATTATTTCAAGACACATTTCAACCTTATGATACCTTTTGTTAAAAGCCTTTGAAAAGAGAGATTATTTGAGGGATTTAAGGCTATTTATCATAGCCCAGAGACAGATGTGCTTTGCTGGACAGCTATAATACACCATATGGTTAGTCACGTCAGCATATGTACTGGAAGAAGGACCCTCACAATCTAGTGACCCATATATAGCTACAAATAAGAAGAGAAAATAAAATAGACATGTTTTATTATAGTTATTTTAAATTTCACTGAAATTTCCCTGACATTATAAACTAAAATTTTCTGTTAGGTAGTAAATGCAGAATTCCATATCTTTATAGTAGCCACTGTTATTAGTGAATTGTGCTAGGTACCAAGTTTTCCTGGCATATGACATACTCCAAATTTTCTGAAAACCCACCTAATTAGAACAACTAAAAATAGGTGAGCTACTACTACATTATTTGTTAAGGTTACAGTACCACGATGTTTCAGAATTGCCACAAGAATGAGTCATTATGTAATACTGTCTGCAATTGACTCTGTTTTCTTCTAGTTTTAAATGTTGCACCACAGGAAAGAGCATGGTGCCTTTAGGAGAATTCTTAAAATTTCTCTGTCTCAAATTTCTCAGTATCACTCCATCCCACTATGGAATGTAATCAATGGCAACCATCAAAGACACACAGCACTCATAATTCTTGGTGGTCCAATAAACCTCTCGGTCAACTCCAGCTTTCCAGCTGGCCTATAGATGGATGCCTTAAATTTCAACGTTATACAACCCAGTTTTGTTAAGTATTGTCCCTGGTATTCCATTTTGAAATGCAAATGATGTCCAATAACCATGAGGGCCTTATCTCTTAGGGCAACCTCGTATACCATTTTTATTTCTGAACTGTGAAGTTTGGGGCAGAATGAATAAGTAGAAGGAGTGACACTGAAAGACTAGTGGTAGATGGAACCCAAAGGCAAAATACCTGACATGGGAAAAACTTTGCTTTCTGTCTTTACTCTGTAACCTGAACTTGCTTTTTGTTGGCTACCATTTTTTGGAAGGTTAGCTGCCTAGAGAAAAGGGAACTCTCTTGGGAACCAGAAGATTTGAGTAAAAGATCTAGTCATTAGTTGTATGATTAGTTATTTGTGTGTCTTTGTCTTTTGTCGTCATTATTAGTGTGGTTAAAAAAGAAAGTGATAAGCAATCCCCCATTTAATGCACTGGAAGTAAGATAATAGAGAAATGGACTTCTATTTCACAGGTTGTAAACTGATGTCCCACTGATAACTTTGGCTCACAAGATGGGCTCTTTTTAGCTTAAACACCATCTAAAATGTTTTTGAATCTTTAGTTTAAAAAATTGTGCATAGAAATGTGTATATTCTGCTTCTTATAAAAAAGCAGAAGTTCTGGGAACACTGCGCCAAGTTGGGTGGCCTCTGTCCCTGTAGAAAATGAGTGTTCTACAGGTCACCATCATCACCATTCCCTGTTATTTACACTTGGATGCTTTCACTCATTTATGTTACCTACATGACCACTAGGCTTTTGAATTTCTGACACCTATTGCCACCTTTGCAACTTGTCATGGTATTACTATAAAATGACAAAGTAGAGTAAGAATGGCTTAGACATCCAGGAAAATATGAAATAGAATCATGGAGAATATTTTCTCCCTCTTATTAACTCATGTTTTCTTGAATTCAAAATGGAGAATGAGAATGTTTAATAATCTTAGCATTCATCTCTTTCTTTTCCTACCTACTCTGAAGCCATGACACATATCTCTAGTATCAAAGAACTGTTTGCTATTTCTGGTAGGGTCCATGGTTACGAGGCAGAATTTGGAAATGCCCACCAGGCCGAAAAATACAGAACCCTGTCTTGCAGTTTCTCAAAGGAGAAGAGCATCAGTATTGTCAAGCTTAAATTGTTTTCTTTCAAACTAAAAGCGAACATGTGATTTTGTTTCATTATTATTAAATGCATTTATGAAAAAAGTCTTTGCATAATGAAATATTTGATACCAGTGTTATAGCCAATACTCCTGAGAAAAGAATAAGCCTGATTCCTAATCATACTTTGTTATGTATTTTAAACAAGAAACACATTTTATTAACTTTACTAAAAAAATGTAAATATAATGCCTTTGGTTCATAAATGAACAATATGGCTGTGACATTTTCTGATTTTTTTAATAAAACTAATTCTGTATCCTATTTTTGGAGATATATGCATTTCTTCCACTTAAAATGTTAAATATCAACTGGAGTAAAGACTGGCAAAGAACATGTAAAAGGAATGGACATGTTATTTCTCTTTCCACGTATTTGGATTTAACTTTTCTTCTTTGATTATTAAAAGGAAAATCTTGTTAATAGATTTTAAAAATTTTTAAAATTATAACAATTTAAATCTATAAATTTCCTTCTAAGCAACACTTTAGCTGCATCCCACACATTTTGATATGTGTTAAATTTGTATTCTCTTTAAAATGTTTTTTGTACTATTTTGTGGTTTTTTAGCTATAATTATATAAAAGTATGTTGACAAGTTTTCAAAATTTGGGTTAATTGCCTAGATACTTTACCATTGTTGACTTCTAAATTAACCCTGTCGAGGTAGTAAATTTCAACTTTTGAAATTTATTGACACATGACTCATGTTGTGACACATCTTTATGACCTTTCCACGTGCACCTGAAAAAATTCTGCTTTCTGAAGTTGTTGAGTGTAAAATTCTGTACATGATAATTAGTTCAAACTATTTTATAAGGTTGTATGTGTTTCTATATCTTTATTGATTTCTATTTGCTTAATCATTTATTTAGATTGAGAGAAGAGTATTAGAATCTCCAAATAGGTCATAGATTTGTCTCTTTCTACCTTTAATTCTATCTAGTTTTGCTTCACGTATTTTGCAAATCTGCTATTACTGCGTAAGAATTTATGATTGCTGTTTCCCTGATGAATTTACCTTTTTTATCATTATGGGATGACTTTCATAGGTTTTTATAATAATCTTGACTTTGAATATCTTATACAATGTAGCTACACCAGCCTTCTCATGTTCATTGTGCAGAGTATGCCTGCTTGCTTTCTTTAATATGCGATCTGCACCTTCATTTCAAAGTGCCTGACTCTTCTATGGTTTTAATGGAAAATCCAGCATGCATCTTCTGCCCTTCTAACCAAATGGATTCCAGTCTCTGCCCTAGCAATTGAAGTACCTGCCTAGATTTCTCAGCCTTCTAGCGTTCTGCCTTTTAGGGATTTTCTGGAATATTTCCTATTCGTATTCAGCTTAGAGGTCAGTCAAGTATTTGATAGGAGTTCAAACTCAAAGTGAGAGCTTCTTCGGCTGAGAGGTTGTCCCTGGATTCCATCTCTTTCCATTTCTAGCCTTTCTGGGAGCCCTGAGTTCCTTCCTCTGACACTCAAGCCACTAAGCAGTAGAGTTTTCTGTTTGAGTTTTAGCAGGCTTGTACCTCATGCAGTGAGGATTGCCCTTGGGATATATAAATCCACACAGATGGATCTCAACGATTTACTTCATTCAAGAGTCAATCCCTAGTTTCAGCCTGCTTTTGATGACTCAGTGAGTTTAAAGTTCTTATCTGTAAGACAATGTGTCCAAAAAAAATCTACACTCCCATTAATAGAACTGAAACCGCCTATACTCTAGCGGCAAATTTACACTCAGATGGTTGGGAGTGAAATGTGTTAAACCAGTGTTGTTGCAAAAATTCAAAGGGAATTCTCCATCTCCCTAGGTTGTGTCTAAGTTCAAATACTTTTATGTATTACTACAATTGGTCACACAGCTGACACTGTATGCATAAGATAACAAAAATGTCCACATTTGTTCCAAGGAAGGGAACGAGCAAACCTTATGATCTAAGAAACAGTTATTCCTTCATATTTCCAACAAGTAAATATTTGTACTCACTCTGCTAAGTGCTGGGGAAAAGTGATAAACAAGTAAGGCAGAAATCTTTATTCCTATGACACACTTGGATGAGATGAGCAAAATTAAATTAGATCAGACAGTCACAAGTTATGTGAAGAAAAATCAAATAAGGCATAAAGAGAGATGGACAAATCTATTTTTTAGAAAGGGGATTCAGGCGTGGCACGGTGGCTCACGCCTGTAATCCCAGCACTTTGGGAGGCCGAGGTAGGTGGATCACGAGGTCAGGAGTTCAAGACCAGCCTGACCAACATGGTGAAACCCTGACTTTACTAAAAATACAAAATTAGCCAGGTATTGTGGCACGTACCTGTAATCCCAGCTACTTAGGAGGCTGAGACAGGAGAATCGCTTGAATCCCGGAGGCAGAGGTTGCAGTGAGCCGAGATCACACCACTGCAGTCCAGCCTGGGTGACAGAGCAAGACTCTGTCTCAAAAAATATAATAAAAAAAAAAAGAAAGAAGGGATTCAGAGAAAATATTTCTGAAGAGATGGAGTTTTAGCAGAGGTATGAATGAGGTTGGGTACAAGCCTGGGTGAAGTTTGGAGAAACATCCTTCTAAGCAGAAGGGACCACAAGTACAAAGGCACAGAAGCTGGAATGGGAAAGAGAGTCATTGTGGCCAAATAGCAGGGACAATAATGGAAAATCACTGAAAGGGTCATTCCCTTCAACCAAGAGCACACCCATCAGTTCATCTCCTGGTGCCCTACAAAATTATCATTTTCTCTGTTTTTTCTGACATGAAAAAGGTTGGGAAGCACTGCTCTAAGATGGCTCTCAGAACACTTAATTTCATCTGTATGAAGCCTTCGTCGCATCAACAGGTCAGATTGGCTTGTCTTTTAGAACGAAGAATTCTTGAAGCAATAAATGAACTTTCAATTCTTTATAAATATACAAGGCATCTAATATCAGCTTCCTTTTTCTCCCTTCACTGGATTATTTTCACTTACCAAAATTTCTGGACATACGTGATCGCTAGCAATCTCTTTCTATTTCTGTTTAGAGGAAGACTTTGAACTAAGAAGAAGTCAAATTCTAGCGTTCATGTCAACTGTCTATTCAATATTTTTACATTTGACTTTTAGATAGAATTCATTTTTTCCCTTCCACTTAAGTCAAACAATCTTCATATTCTTCCTGATTATGGTGGAAGCTCTGGAAGGTGCTGTCAGTTTGAAAACAGTTTAAATCTAGTTGCTTTTTCAGAAAAGAAAATCAATTTTCTTCTGTGCTGCAAGGTTTATTAGGTAAAACTTAGATTTACTATAATAAGAAAAATAACTTATTGCTTCAAGTTGAATAGCATACTTTTCCTGCAACTTGAGAATATTTTAATCAGTAACATTTGTTAAATAAAAAAAATTGTTTATGAATGCCCACATATAGGTTGTGTTCACATTTTCCTGATAGATATAAGCTAAGAATGTCCCCATTATTCAAGTAGCCAATAAATGTCCCAATTCTGCTGACAAGAAACTAAGAAATACATTTTGAGTTTAGGAGGAACTGATACAATTTGCATTCACTACCTGCAGGCAAGCACAACTGTAAACACCTGCCTTGAGACAGATATGTGTTTTAATAGAGCAGTAATAGTAGCTTTCTCTCTCTCATATATGGAAATACAGCTTCTAAACCACAGTAGTAGGGCTAGGCTTTGATTTTTTTTCCCAGTATTCCTAGTGTTTCAAAATCAATTTTCTGAGCACCTATTAGGGGACAGACATCCTTTTAGTCAGTGAAAATAAATAGATGAATGTGACATATTCCATTCCTTCTCTGAACTCACCAGAAGTAGGAAAAAATGGATTCAGATACAAGGTACAATACTAATTCTCTTTAACAAATGGCTATAGTGAAACTGCGAATCTAAGTAAAACAAAGTTGTAGAAGTTCAGAGGTTCTATCTTAGAAGAAAATGGCCCTGGGAAATGTATTTCTACTTATTAAATTAAATTAGATCAGACAGTCATAAGTTATGTGAAGAAAAATCAAATAAGGCATAAAGAGAGATGGACAACTCTGTGGGATTTCTCCCAAGAAAAGCTTCCCAAGGTGTGGATACATGAGCTGTTTCTTGAGAGTAGGCATTGGCAGTGGAGAAATTGTTTGGATCCATTATAGACTTATAGAAAGTAGTATGAGAAACCATGGACACCTGGTGTTTTCAAGACGTTAGTATGATCAGAAAAGAAGTGAGAAGGAAAGTTTAAAGTCAGACTATCAAAGTCATCAAGTGCCATGTTAAAGAGTTCCAAATTTATTCTGCAGTCATGGAGGACAGCCAGAGATGTTTGAATTAATGGAAAATAAGATCAAGTACTATAATTTTGGAGGTAACCCTGATGATAGCATCTTGAAATAGCTACTAAAAGGGTGACTCAACCTGGGGCCTCCAACAGGATGGGTCCAGATAAAAAGCATGACATTTTTAGTGTTAGTTCTGTTGGCATACAAGCATACATTTAGAGATTTCCCATAACATTGGAAATTTTTACATATTTTTCTCTCCCCAAAGTTTATGATACATTCTTCAAATTAAAAAAAAAAATCTCAGAAGACTTAACAGTCGATGTATTGGTCCTATATTTTCTAATTTAGCGTTTCCTGGGCTTATTTCACCACAGCTCTCAGTGAGGACATTAATAAATGTGGGAGCTAGAATGAAAACACTGTTCTATGCCAACACAGTAACAGAATAACTGATGAATGTAATGTGCCAGACATGTATTCAACTTGATTGGCAGGTGACATGTTATTTACCCCTCACAATAACCCCAGCCATCAGTAAGGTATACACTATTGTGTCCCAACATGCAATACATGAGAAAATGGAGACTTCAGGAGATGATGTGGTTTGCCAATGTCACAGAAATAACAAGCAGTCCCGCTAAAATGTGAACACAGGAAAGTTGACTCCAGTTCTCTTAGTAGGTATTTTTTTTATGCTATCACCCCCTCCTTTGGCCCCAACTTGTGCTCCTTGGGACAAAAAAAAAAAAAAAAAGGAATAAGTAGAAATACATTTCTTTTTTAGAAAAAAGAATTTTAAACCTTTCTGCTTCCTATGTATGCCTTTGGAAGGAAAAGAATTCTGAACATGCTTTGCTCATTGCTTTGCCATGCATTTTCATCACATAAAGAACACCCTGGAATATTTTTTCAATTAGGTAAAAGAATTTCCTTCTTAACTACTATCTTATTCTTATTCTTTTTTTTTTTTTTTTTTTTTTTTTTTTTTGAGACGGAGTCTTGCTCTGTCGCCCAGCCTGGAGTGCAGTGGCGCTATCTTGGCTCACTGCAAGCTCCGCCTCCCGGGTTCACACCATTCTCCTGCCTCAGCCTCCCGAGTAGCTGGGACTACAGCCGCCCACCACCAAGCCCGGCTAACTTTTTGTATTTTTAGTAGAGACGGGTTTTCACCGTGTTAGCCAAGATGGTTTCGATCTCCTGACCTCGTGATCTGCCCGCCTGGGCCTCCCAAAGTGCTGGGATTACAGGCGTGAACCACTGCGCCCGGCCTTTTTTTTTTTTTTTTTTTTTTTCACATGGAGTCTCACTGTCGCCCAGGCTGAAGTGCAGTGGCACGATCTTGGCTCACTGCAACGTCCACCTCCCAGGTTCAAGTGATTCTCGTGCATCAGCCTCCAGAGTAGCTGCAATTATGGGTGTGTGCCACCATGCCCCGCTAATTTTGTATTTTTAGTAGAGGCAGGCTGGTCGCTACTAAAGAGACATGTTACCCAGGTTGGTCTCGAATTCCTGACCTCCGGTGATCCACCCACCTCAGCCTCCCAAAGTGCTGGGATTACAGGCACGAGCCACTGTGCCCAGCCTTAACTACTATCTTACTGTCATATTAAAAGTGTCTTAATAACAGATTTCCAACACTTGCTTTCAGTGTTTGGAATTTTCCTAACTTGATGCTCATTCTTTTACTCCATGCTTAATTCCAGGCAAATCGTAGTAGCTATGGGCTCAGCAAATCAACTATATGACTCTTTATTTTCAGTGTTTTTGATATCACTGAAAACTTTTCTATAAAATAAGTCTTAAAAGGTTTAGGAATATTTATCAACAATACATTTTATACATTCTCTTCATGACTGGGAAGTTATCATGAAGAAGTGAAGAATTAAGGGGTTCAAAATGCATTATTATCAGCCCAAGGAAACAGAGGGATTGATAAATGTAATTAAATTGTGGACTCTACTGTCTATGCTTTGCCAGAAATTGTCAAAAAAAAAAAAACCCACAATAATGATAATTGTGAAAATTTATTTAGTGCTGGCTGAACATGGTGGCTTGTGCCTGTAGTCCTAGCTGCTCTGAAGGCTGAGGCAGGAGAGTTGTTTGAGCCCAGAAGTTTGTGGTTGCAGTGAGCTATGATCATGCCACTACACTCCAGCCTGGGCAACAGAAAGATGGAGCGAGACCCTGTCTCAAAAAAATGGATGGATGGATAGATAGATTAGATAGATAGATGATTGATAGAGAGAGAAAGAGAGATGCAGTGCTTTTCACAACATCAAGGAAAGTGTTACACTGGTTTCACTTTACAAACAATAGACTCAACCTAGGAGTCATGACTTAAGTAGGCATGTTAGAAAATAAGGCAGCTAATCTCTAAGAGTTCTGTTTGGTGATGATCCCAAGTCAGGATTCATCAAGGATGCTTCTTTTGTCAGAGACATTGCTGTCTGTGCTACAAGATGATGGAATTTGGTGGGGCTCTGGGTGCTGGCTTGGAGACACACATGGATGCATTTGGGCAGTTTCCACTTTTGACGAGGGCTTGTGCATTTGTCCAGAACCATGTTCTGCTGACTTCTTACGCTGCTCATCACTTGCCTCGCCCTAGGGGATTTTTGTCAGTAACAGTTAAACCACTGGCAGCTTTAAGTATTCCCCATCAACCTCAAGCTATTTTGGGGCATGTTCCTGACACAGTGCTGCAAAATTCTCACTAATAATCATTTATTCTTCCATTCATTATGACATTTTCTCTCGGTGTTACCTGAACTCTCTCTAACATGCACACATGCATACACACACACAATATACAATGGAAAGACAGTCATTACAGAAGACGGGGATTTATTTTTTAGATTGAAAATAAAAGTATAAGTTTTCCCTTAATCGAACCCGAAAATCTGCCTTAGAATAACAAAACAAAGTAAATAAACTAAATATTCCCTCTAAATAGTTAATTCTTCTCTGAAGGCTTGAGTTCTGGCATCTGCCCTTACCTCACCTCCCAGGTTCTGAGTCAATATACTAGAAGACATTTTAACCTTTCTCTGCTATCTCATGGATATTTCCAAACTTGTATTACCAGTAAGGTTATTTACTAGTTATCTTTCCCCTTTTCATTTTAAAAAGAAGAATTTCAGCCATTCAAATAATTTTTAAACTATGGGTCAGGTTCAATGTGTTGGAACAAAATCACAATTGTTAAGTCAGTGACTACAAAGGAAATCAAAGCTTTATGAGTTTCTCCTGATCATAGTAAAAATATGTACTTACTCGTGTGTATTTCTTCAGCGTAAGACTATACAAGGCATGATATCTGAATTAAATATGAAAAAAGTACAATTTTTATGTCTTCAAACATCCATCAGGCTGATCTTGTGCCTCTGTCTGAGTTGTTACTGAGCATTAGATTAAGAGATATTCTTTCTGTATTCAGACTTTTTAAGAACTACAAAGAGAAAAAAAATTGATAGATTATAGAATAAGATTTTATGACTGCTCTTTCAAATCCAAACCCAATGTTTAAAATACCATTCTTTTAGTTGCACTGTGAAAAAGAAACCACTATGTTTTGGAGAGACTAGCACCAGCTGAATGAATCAAAGAGAAAAAGAATTTCAAATGTATGGCAGACTTAAGAAAATGTGGGCCGGGCGCGGTAGCTCACGCCTATAATCCTAGCACTTTGGGAGGACGAGGCAGGCAGATCACCTGAGCTCAGGAGTTCAAAACCAGTCTGGGCGACACCGTGAAACCCTGTCTCTACTAAAAACACAAAAAAAGTAGCCAGGCGTGGCAGCGTGCACCTGTAGTCCCAGCTACTTGGGAAGCTGAGGCAGACGAATTGCTCGAACCTGGGAGGCGGAGGTTGCAGTGAGCCTACATGCCACCACTACACTCCACACTCCAGCCTGGGCAACAAAGCGAGATTCTGTCTCCAAAAAAAAAAAAAGAAAATGTGATCATATTATAAATGTGCTTACATGCCATGATAGCTTGGGAAAAGTCGTTGTTTATGTGGCCTCAATGAGACTTTTAACAAGTTGTGATGAGCTTATCAGTTATAAAAATCATGAAAGTCACAATAGTAGGTAACAAAGTTAGACAGGTGATAAATGAAAACCCAAGAAGGATATATCAGCTGCACAGCTAAATATTTATTAGGTGACCGGTAACAAAACATATCACCTGCCATGAGGGTAGATATTTTAATTAGTGAAAAATACTATTTTCTGGCTGGTAGTGAAATTGTCATATAATACCCTGCAAGAAGAATTTCTTTTAGAAGCACTCCGTTTCCTACTTTAGAATTCGTTTGTCCTCTCCCTGTTCTTAGGTGAAGAAAATGCAACACAGTAACTGTGTTCTACTATGCTTGTTTAAGGTGGTGGAAACCAAATCTAGAATCAAATTACCTCATGTGATAAAAGTTTGGTCCCTGAGTTCTCTCTGACTTAGACCAAGTTGCACAATAGAAAATAATTTATCAGCAAAGTACCACAGAACTTCAAATTTAAGTGCTACTTGTTTGGAAGGTTAAGGCAGGAGGTGATGATGTGACTTTTTAATAATATTACATCACGTTATAGATAACAGATATTTTAAGCTTTTAAAATATTATTTATATTTAACTATCTTTACTTCTCTATGGAACTTATCCTTATTGTCTGGTCCAAAGAGAAACATTCCCACATGGCTGGTTTTATAGTTATTCAATCATTACTTAGTACTTTGGTCTCTTGCAGTATCATATTTATATATTGGATCAGTGATTGATATAAATATTTGTATAAGGCAGTTTATTCTTTATCATGTCTTAGAGAATGTTCATTGCTGCCTTTCCTTCTTTTTTCCCTATTATAGTTACTTAGGTATGGTGCTTGAGAGCAAATACTATGAGGGAGGAAAAGGGAGTGAAGAAGGGAGGGAGAAAGAGAGGGAAGAAAAGAATGAAGCTGGAAAGGAAGAAGGAAGAGAGGGAAGGAGGGACTAAGGAGCTAAGGGAAGAAGGAGGGGAAAAGAAAGGGATCACTCTGATTGGTTCTTATTTATCCCAAATACTTGTAGTACTCAATTTATCAAAAAAAATAAGTATGCCAGTAGCAAGTTTTGGGGGGATAATCTTGCTAAATCTTCACCAGAGTAAAAATATAAGGAAGATATCATTTTAAGCCACACACTTCAGATTTCAGCAAAATTCTACCCCATTTTCCAAAATGCAATGGCCCAGCGTAAGGATCCCCTTTTCCTCCATCCTTCTCATCCTGATAGCCTTTCACCCCTTTCATACTCCTGACCACTTCATTTTCAGCAGAGCCCCACAGGAATAATAGCTTCTGTCACAAGAAGTGGGAGGAATATGATGTAATGCTCTGGGTAATTTTGTTAAACCCACTTAGCACCTAATCCACTCAAGTCAAAGCTGGTACTGGAGTTATCACTCACTAGACTGGCTTTGTGCGCAGAGCAATTCAATACCCACACATCTTCACAAATTACTGGTACGCGTCTTCAGACAGTAGGCTGCGACAGCTGAAAAAGATACCTCTTCAACTCCTAATTTTCTGTATTTTTATTTCATTCTTAACACCTCTTTGCAGACAATTAGCTTTTTCCCCCTTTTCTTTCTCAGACTATTTTAAATTAGCCCATTTGAGGCTGATGAATGAGCCAAGTTACAGCCCATGAAGGAAGCACTAGCTGAATGCTAAAATGGTGCTCGTTGCTAGAATGCAATGCAACATATTTTATTCTAGGAGGCAAGCAATGGAATAGACACGTTTACGCATTTTCAAGATAATTTATTTAACTAAATGTGAGACATATACTATGCATTATTGAAGAACTATGTAAAGACCCCATAGGTGACTGGGAATCTCTTTCTGGGTACATTTCTTGTTTTTAAAACATGATTAACCTCTTTTTTTTTTTTTTTTTTTTTTTTTTGAGACAGGGTCTTACTCTGTCACCCAGTGCAAGAGTGCAGTGGTATGATCATAGCTCACTGCAGCCTCAATCTCGCAGGCTCATGTCACCCTCCCACCTCAGCCTCTCAGGCTCAAGTCACCCTCCCACCTCAGTCTCCCAAGTAGCTGGGACCACAGGTCCATGCCATCATGCCCAGCTAATTTAAAAAAAATTTTTTTTAGAGACAGGCTCTCCCTATGTTGCCCAGGTTGGTCTTGAACTCCTGAGCTCAAGCATCTTCCCACCTTGGCTTCTCAAAGTGCTGGGATTACAGACATGAGCCACGCACTTGGCCTGATTAACCTTTTTTAATAAGTCTTGTTGCTTTGCACATTGCTTTTTCTAGTGTGGATTTCAATTCTTATAAAGATTCACAGTGGCAATGTCAACCATGACATTGTTTTGTGATTATTATTATTACGTTAAACAGAGAGTACTAACTATTCTAAGTATCTCTTTCCTCCATAACTCAGAGCCATCATTATGAAGGCCATCATTATATTCTACCATATTATAGTAATGCCTTCACAGACTTTTGAGATCCTCTGTCCTTTCCCTAAGTCATAGGTTGCAGTACTAGTTCTATCTTTCTCAAGTCCCATCACTGCTGTCTTCTAATCGGCTACAGTATTTTACATACAACTGCCTGAACTACTGCTCTTCCTTCTTCCTTTAGAGTAAAACTCAGGGCCTCTGTGACAGATATTTGCTACTCACCAACAGTTTTTATCTATTTTATTTTTTTGACCATGCCCTGGAATGGATTTGTCAAATCTTTGTAGATGTGGTCAATTTTGGAGATGTCCACTCTGGAAAAAAAAAAAAAAAAAAAAAAATTAAAGAGCCACACTAAACAAGAAACATCAGAGGTTCTGAAGAATGACTCACAGGAGCTTTGTCCTAATTTTGAAAACTCAAGTTGATATAAAGTAAATTTTGCATCCACAAGGCTTCCTAGCATATTACCCTCCTAAATTGTGGCTATAGCAGTTAAACATCATTCTGAAGTAATTATATAATGCTGCGGTTTGAATGTTGGTCTCCTCCAAAATGGATGTTAAAATTTAATTGCTTTTGTAACAGTATTATATTAAGAGGTGAGACCATTAATTGTTGATTAGGCTGCGAGGGCTCCACCATCATGGCTGCAGTTGTAAAAGGGTGCGTTCAACCCCTTCTTACTCTCTCACCCTCTTGCCTTCCTCCATGTGATGATGCAGCAAGAATGCCCCTGCTGGATGCTGGCATCTTGAAGTTGAACTTTCCAGCCTTTAGAACTGTGAGCCAATACAGTTCTGTTTATTTTAAGTGGGCTATTCTCAGATATGTTGTTATAATAGCCCAAAACAGACTAAGACATGCACTAATCTAAAAGCTTAACAATGTAATATGTTATGGATATTTATGATATGAAACTTTTCATTTAATGATCTCAAAGCAGAATAAAAGTAATTTCAGATTTATGTATTTATTTCTCTATTCACCTAGCTCGAGTGTCCAAATTTCTAAAGAACACTGAATAATTTTATTGAACAAAGTGGGTTCATACTTAACGGTATTGTCACATGTCACACACACACAGATCTATATTTTAGAGTGGGGTTCCACTTTTATTTTCCTTAAAGGGCCAAATGATAAATATTTTTGTCTTTGCAAGACATATGTTCTCTGTTATAACTATTCAACTGTGACATTATAGCCATAGATAATAAATTGTCTAAAACTTCATTTATGGACTTTGAAATTTGAATGTTATAATATTTATGTGTTATGAAATACTCTTCCTTTGACTTTTCTCAATCATTTAAGAGTATTTAAGTTTTTCTTAGCTCACAGGCTATATAAAAACAGGCTATGATCTCGATTTGGCTCAGGGACCAGTTTGTCACTCCTGCTACAGAGAGCTTTAACAGCAGTAGAAATGGCATGCTAAACTCTCAAGGTTTTGAGACATCTGCACATGACATCAAGTTTCCAGTGAAAGTTTTGGTCTTTGATTATTTCTAAATATATTGGTAATTTAAAAAGAGAAAATCTAAGAATATTTTACAGAGTTTTTGCTTGTTTTTCTTTTGAGTATTGTTTAGACCAGAGCACCTGAAACTTTAATGTGCCTGGGAATTACCTAGGTATCCTGCTAAAAGGAAAACTCTGATTTGGGTAGGTCAGGTGTGGGGCCTGAGACTCTGCATTTCCAACAAGCTCCCAGGTGGTACCAGTGTTGCTGGTCCTTTGAAAACTCTTTGAGTAGTAAGGGCATAGAACACAGTAGAGAAAGCCCAATTTGACTTAATAAGGGATAATAAGAAGTCTATGCTGGTGACTTTCAATGAATAAAATGTGATGCTTTTGAATGAAATTGCACAGCCCTTGAAAAATAAAAGCCAAAAGGTATGAAAAAATAGTGATAGCACATTAAAATGATATAAAAGCCTTCACCAAATAAAACGAGTTGTACTGAAAGCCTAGAATACTTAACTTATTAAGCAGCCAGTATCCTGGCTACTACCAAAAATACAGCTTTTCATCCAGACCACATTCATTCAAACTCTTCAAGTATTTTTCATCTTTTAGGTAGATTATTTAACACGTTCCAAGGCATTGAGGAATTCAGTAAATACTATAAAGTATAAGACCTATTAAAACTTGATATATATTG
The DNA here is from genome assembly GCF_000001405.40 of Homo sapiens. Taxonomy (NCBI): domain Eukaryota; kingdom Metazoa; phylum Chordata; class Mammalia; order Primates; family Hominidae; genus Homo; species Homo sapiens. Next base: position 166,062,079 of record NC_000005.10, read on the forward strand.
TGTAGGCTTACATGTTGCATTTACTGTGTGCATACATAAATATGAAAGTATGCATGATGTTTAAAATGCATTTGGTCTGAGGATTTTTAATGTCAAGTTTCAATCCCATGCAAATGAAAAGGGCTGAATACATAAACCTGTCAAAATCATGATTTTAATGGAAATGTCAAGATACTTCTGAAAGCCAATATAATAATCCCTTTTATGCAGCACTAGGAAGAAGCCTATGATCCTAGAAGAACTAACCTGTCACCCTGCACTATCTGTTTCATCCTATTACCATCCTCGGCTCCATTATCTAAATGACCAAGCACTCCTTCAATTCTAGGGCTAAATGATGTCATGACATAACTATCATCATATTTATACCTCATAAAATTAGAAAGGTTATTAAACATAATTTGACCTTTGGCATACTCTAACAGAATCTTGATTTTTGCTGTTTTCTTTCTTTCCTCCTTTTCCCCTCCTTCATTCACTCAAATCTCTCATTTCAGTTCTTTATACTCTCTTTTCTTTTTTCCTTTAAAATAAACTGTTTTCCACTTATACTGACATCATGTTGCACGACCAGATGTAGGATTTCAGAAAATAAAATTTTTATTACAGTGCTTTCTAATTATTCTTTAAAGCTACCATTCAGGAGAGAGATGTTGCTTCCATTCAAACCTAAATTCAATGCCAAGTACATTTGCCCTTGAAAATTTTCTAAAGCACTGGGTGATGTGGGGTCTGAGGTGTCTCATGGTTTTGCTGTTACTATTGTCTTTAACTAGCTTGTACTGCAGTAGAGAAGGCAATTAGCTGTGTTTATCTTTGTTGGTACACTCTGATCAAAACAGTCAAGGAACAGATGCTTCCAGGTGGACAAAGGTCAGGCATTGGGTATGTTGGACAACTGAAAAGGAAAGAGTATTTGTCAGAACCTTTATAGACTCCTGAGCTGTAAAACAACTTTTCCTTTAGCATTCTGAGGTATTTTCAATAGATTAAACAGAAATCATTATGTTTTGTAAATGCTTCAAAATAAGGTCAATGAGCTTCCTTCTTTGTATTGCTTCTTGTCTATGTACACGCTGACAAAGAAGCAATAAGCTTCGTGTGTGTGTGTGTGTGTGTGTGTGTATGTATGTATGAATGTATGTATGTATGTGTGTATGTATACTTTCTTTGCGTTTCAGTGTTAATTTATTTTATTCTAAATGTATATGACTCTATAATATATGAAGGAAGTTATCTGTTTCAAAGCCTCCTCAACACAGAATCTCAGCTTTTAGGCTCCTCCAGCACATTTGTTAGTTTTTAGCATTCTCCAAGCTTCCTGTGAAAGTCCCCGATGACAGTGGCTTCCCACTGCAGAGACATTTTCACAATTAATTTCCATTCAAGAAAGAAGTCTCTTACACTCAACTCACAGCTTCCTGTTTTCAGTTTGATTTATTATGTCATTTATTTACACTCAGTAGCTATTTATTGAATACCTACTACATGATGAAAAAACACAGTTTCTGCTCTCAAGGAATTTGTAGTCTGCTAGGGATATGGGCAAGAAAATGGATAATAAAAATATGATGTGATAGGCTATCCTTTAAATCTATGAATCAATCAATATATATTCACGAAATATAAACCAGGGACTGTCATCAAGCCTTTATTAGACATAGATGTGGCTGTGGATATAAATATAGACACACATAGAGTTATTGGCCCCAAAGAGTTTGGAAACCAGTAGGAGGAAAAATAATAATATAAAGATATAATATAATAAAATAATATAAAAATATATCTTGTTACAAGATATTATATATATAACAACTGTTATACATTCTTATTAGAGGCAGAAAGTTCATAGGAAATTAATCCTTCTCTAGTAAGAACAGTTTTCTTACCTAGTGTTCAATATTGGTAATAATTCTTTATTTGTTCCATATTTTCTTGATCACAGAATGAATAATTTATCTCCGTATGCAACTTATTTTAAGAACTGACCACAGAAGTCACTTTGTTTCTTTGCTCTTTCCTGATCTTTTTTCTTTAATTCACCTCATTTTTTGTAAGATGATTGTATTAGTCTGTTCAGGATGCCATAATCAAATGCCAAAACAGGATAGGCTGGGTGGCTTAAACAACAAATATCTATTTTCTCATGGTTATGAAGGGACGAAAAGTTCCAGCTCAAGTTGTCAGCCCATTTGGTTCCTGGTGAGGGCCCTCTCCCTGGCTGCCTTCTCATTGTATCCTGACTTGGCCACCCCGATTGTGTGCACACAGAGAGG